>NW_013171800.1:0-163749 GCF_000001405.40 Homo sapiens
GAATTCAGTCTGTAACTTGGTTCCATTGAACATAACTAGAAAAGGGAAGGGGATGGGCAAATAGGGTGAGTGCCTACATGGTCCTCATGTACATTTTACAATTCAAGGCTAAAAATGTTTTCTAGTAAGATTTCCAGTAATCCTTAATGTTGAAATTAATAATGGAAATAGTACAGGTCAGTTTGCACAAGGTAACAGCCAACAAACACAGTTCTACATCTCTCAAGAGCTTTGATGCTGAATCTCACTTGTGGTGCCCAATTTCTTATTCTCCTAGAATGAATTATAACAAGGTCAGTTGCACAATATGCATGTAAATTAACCAAAGGTGGCACAATTGACAAATGCATACTTCAACATATATTCAGTGATGTCTGCATTTCCAACTGGACAGCTTGATTGTGTTCTTCTAGTTCCTCTGTACACACTCAAACCATTTATAAGAGGCCTGTTCCGCCACTTTTCCACTTGGGTCCAGGCATAGCCAAACTCCTAAGAGAATAAGGTCATATCTTCACCATATATGACAAATCTATACACAATAAAATATGAATTACATGTGATTCAAAACACAGTATTTTTTTCAGTGTGAGATTAAGCTACAGACAATTTAGGGGTATCACCAGTCAGACTCCTAGGAAATACTGGTGCTTGTCAGTTTTGATATCTTAGGATCTGAGCTAATTTCAGTCAATTTAATTGAAAATGAAGTGTTTTGGGCATTTTTGCTCTCATAAGAGTCATCTGGGTTAGTTAATAGGCAAATAAACAAAACAAAACAATTTATTTTTCTAAAAGTCTTGTTTCTTCATCTGTGTGAACACAGAAAAACTTCCTCCCCAATGTTGGTGCCAAGGTTCTATCTTGAACTGTTAGATAAAACACAGGATGCCAGTTAAATTTGAATTTCAGATACACAACAAACAATATTTTAGTATAAGTATGTATGATGAAATGATGGAGATATATTTAAGAATTGCTTTTCATCAAAAATCCAAATTTAAGTGGATTTTCTGTATTTTTATTTGTTAAATCTGGCAATGCAGATTATATAAATACACACACATATACACATACACACAGAATTATAGATTTAGACAATTTAGGGACTAAAAAATGATCTATAATGAAGCAAGTGGTCTTTTATATATCTTTCTAATCTGTATACATTGAGGACTTGTTTATTCTCCTGAAAATTCTGCAGATACATGGCACATATAGCCCTTACCCAACTGCACTTTCCATGGATCTTTTAGTTTAAGAATACTTTGACTTCAAAAGCCAATAAATAATCAGAAATAAATCCTTCTCCTGGGCACAAATGTGAACTAAACTCTAAGCTGACTGATTTGGAGAGCTCAGCTTCCCATCAGCTAGCAAGTCTTTACTTTCAATTACTTTTTTTTTGCATTCTCTTTCTGTATACAGCATTTTAGGCCCTTTGCTCTTAATCTTGTTAACTGAATTAGTCACAATAACTGATTTTTCATTTTACTTTTCTGGCTTTTATCTGTTAGATAAACTGCAAATATAGACTGTCTGCAAAAGAAAATGCTTCTATGTGCTGTACTCCATCTTTTTCTAGTGCCTCTCTACTCTCTTTCCTTCGCAAATGTGAGATATTCTGTATTCTCACCAATTGTGTTAGGGACCAAAAGAGCCTCAGTGCATTTCTTTATAACAGGTTATAAAGTTTTAGACACCTTTCTCTAAGGAACTCAGTAAACATTACTAACATTATCTAGTTAGTTCTCACAGCATACATGTAAGGCTTAGTTATCCGACTCTTGTAGCTTCTGAATGATGAAATGACCATAAGGTCACGAAGCACATTATCAGAACTTCTCAAATTGTTAAAAGGAGCTCATAGAACTTCTGATAGTTCCTCTAACCGTTCTCTCATTTAAAATCTAGACATGTCTTTTTTCTGAGTTCTTCCCACAGGTTTCTCCTTTTCATAGCCCTAATTCATGCTCCCGGATTATTTATTTTTTAAATAAATAAATATCACTGTGACGTGCTATTTTTAAATAAATATATCACAGTGGCAACAAGGACTGCACTTTATAGGTTCTTGGTAAACTGTGCTACTATGTGGGCAAGTTGTACAAACTTTCTGAGCCTCAGTTATTTCAAATGTGAAAAGTACTTTTTTTTTCTGAGTTGTGATAGGAATGTACAGTGCTGAATATAAAGCACTAGATATAGTTTCCACTGATTAGAAGGCTGTTGGTAATCTTCGTTGTTATTAGGTGTATATCCTTCTAAATTTTACCAAAGAAATTTATGTGTAAGAAAAAACATGGCAGAACAACATATTTAGGTTTGAATTTGGGGTACATTATTTACTCTTATAAAATCTTAGTTTTTTCATCTGTAAAATAATTGAGATAGCAATCATATCTTGCACTTGTAAAAATTAAATTGCATAAAATTTGAAGATGTGTCCAGCATGGTGTGGATAGATGGGCAATAAATTAATGTTAGTGAAAATATTAAAGAGGAGAATATCTTTAGAAAATTTTAGTGTCGGGCCCTTTAAAGCTTTTACTGGCCTGCAAACTTACTTATAGATATTTTGAGCATACCAATTAGTAAACACAAATAATCGTTTTTGTTATTAGCACTTCTTAATTATATGATTTATGTATTTTAAAAATAGTGATTATTTGTGGAACAAAATGCAATTCTCTGGAAAATCTTAAGGTCCTGAAAAGTTATGTTCTAATTTCAACATAAAGAAGTATGTTCTAAAATAAAATGGGTTCATGCTTTCATCAGTTTCTCCAATCTGTCTGGTCTTTGGAAACTAACCTATTTGATCATATAACACACTATACCTGGGGCTATTTATAAGTTTAGTAATGTTAATTTCCTATGCTTACTTCTAGGGGTCATCTTTAAGATTTTGTTCTGACTGCTTATTTTAGTGTTCACTACAATATTTTACATATTACAACTACACATAAAGACAATAAATACCACTTCCATTTTGACCTGTCACCTTGGATTTTCCATTTTGGTTTTAAAAATTAAAATTAGTTTTTATTGTTATCCCAAATTATGACTTACTATCTTTCTCTGAATTTAGAGTTTGTGTTTCATAATTCATATGAGAATGTGATGGTCAAACCACCATTTAAATAAAAATAAAAAATTAACTTGAAACTCAGGCAAAAAAAGAAATGGCATATCATATTTATTTCTGCTTTACAAAATTTAATTTATTAATTATTCATTGTCTTTTAAAGTGATAGAAACTGAATTTTAAAATTAAATTGAAAGTATTTGAATATTATAGAGCAGTTTGTTTTTTTGCATTTTTTTCCTAGCCATTTCTAAACACTCTAAACTTCCCGTACTCTTTTAGTAAGATTTTTATGTATAATAAAATTTTAGGAAAGCTATAAATTTTATATTTGAATAGCATCAGTCATGCTTTAAATTGACCCAATGGAGTGGTTTTACATCATAAACATGAATGATAAGAGAAAATTCTACTCAACTTAAGTATATGAAAGATGTTTTTAAATCACACCCTTCACTGAAGTTATTGGTTTAAACCTTAAACTCAACCTCAATAAAGATGCGAGCGTGGGCTCAATCATGCCTACAGTTATTCATGCAAAAACCCTATGGAAATCAACTACTTATTGCTTAGAGTTTTGTATGACTTTTTGAGAGTAGAAATTGGCTAATTCCTGTTTAAATCACTCCAGTCTTAACTTGGAATGTGATAGGAAAATTTGTACCTCTCCTTGGGAAAATAAAATTGAAAATTAGTTAAAATGGAAAATCTTCCTTTTACTCCCTCACATCTTCTGCTGAACTATCTTCTTGAACATATAAATGACTTTATTCTGCACTAACCTAAATTGGTGGCAAACACCCTAATTATAAATTTATTTGGCTGGTATTGAATGCCTATAAATTAAATATAATCTTCTATAGGCCATAGACAGACCTTGTATAAATTAGATTATTCAGTCAGAAATAGAAGGTATGTAATTCTGAGTGTATTTTCTCTCACATGATATGAAATGTAGTAAACCAATTTCTCTGGCTACTCTAACTTGGCAATGTCCATACAATTATCACAGAACTCAACCTTAAGGGGCTTCAAGGACACACAGATGCATCACCAAATCTCCCCTACATGGCTGAGGCACACGTTCCCTCAGCTGACGGGAGTGCTGGCTGCAAAACCACATCACATATTGTCTCTGGATTACCCTCAGAGGAAAGGAGATGCCACCCTAAAGTTTATGGCCTTTTTCTGGGGCAGCTCATATCCAGTGACTATTTGATGAAAGAGGTACAAAACCTGGTTCATTTACCTGAATTTGAGAGAAATCTATAGGCCACCCTAGCTCCAGGGTTTGCCAGTGGATCATCTGAGCCTTCTGTTGAAACACTTCATAGTTCAGCTTCTCCCTCTGCTTAATCCTGCTTCCCTTACCTTATGTTGGGTGTAGACCCTGAGTGCATTCTCAAACTTGGTCCTGGGTACACAAACAATGGCAGAGTAGGGTGTACCTCCATGAAGAACTGGGGATTCACTCTTTCTCTGTGGCATTATCAGGAGTATATTCTTCAAAATGCTTGGTGATTAATTTATTAGTAAACCTATGCAATTTATTAGTAAACTTCTAGGTTCAAATGATTATTCCTTTCAGTCAACAAACTCAGGCCAGGCCTTTCTAGTGTGGCCTACTCCTTACTATTCATGGTTCAGTAATGTTTGTCTCGTGCTTTAAAAGTTCTGAAAAGTAAAATACCTGTGTCCTATATTTGGGAAGATACATAAGTGAATAAAAGCATCCAGTCATTAACTCATTTATTCATGTAAGATATATACTATTTCTGCCCCTATTTAGCAGATAAAGAAACTAAAGCGCATACTACTTTAATTTACCCAAAGTCATGCAGCTCATAAGTGGATAAGCTGAGATTTAAACCCCAACTGTCTTGCCATGAAGAATTCAGGAAAGGAGAAGGAAATTTAAAAGTGTGGATGTGGATGTTGAATTATGTAAAATATATTTAAGCAACAACATGTTCAATGGTTCTGTGGAATATGTGGCTGGAAAAGTACATTGATGACAAAGCACACGGCCAAGACATTTGGTTTTTACTCTATGTGAGTGCAGTCAATGACTAAATTGTTTTGGAAAGTAAACTGAGAGGATAACCAGGGTGTGTAAGAAAAGAATATTTAATTTTTTCATAGCGATTATTTTAGAAATTGGCTGAACCTAGAAATCCTTTAACATCTAATAAGTTCTGTTGTAGCATGCTTTAACTCTTCCTTCCTCTCTTTCATTTCTAGGTTAATGAGGGCTCCTCTGAATAGAGGAAAGATGCCTCATTTGAGCCTTTTATTTGGGTGCATTAATTACTTTAATGGTAGTAAATATAAATTTTAAAGGTAGAGAAATGAGGCTTTTCTTAATTAAATAACTCATTTAGGGGTATATTTATTCTAGGGTGGCTATTCTTCCTGAACAGGGGACTACCTAAGAATGAATGGCCTGCTGAAAAGAATCAAGTACCATGAAACTGAATATTAAAGAAAATATTTAGCAAATAAATATCTTCAAGGAAAATATGTGAAGATTATGATTGATTTATATTTTCAAATTTTTTATAACAGACATGTTCTAACAAAGGCATTGCAATGAAAACCTGAATGGAAGATTGGTCTCCTTATGGGAAACTCATGAGAACCTTGTGGAGTATAAATTAAAATGAAATATAATTTTTACTACTGTAGAATATGTCATTTTATTCTTTCTTCTATTTTTCTACTTTAATGATTTCACTAATTTTTCTTTCTTATCTGAAAGTGACCATTACATTTTCATCTAAAAGTGTCAATGTCCCAAAAGTGATTGATAGTAAAAATGAAAATAAATACACATATAAACTAATAAAAAATCATAACAAGCCACATTTGTGGTAAAAATAAATAAAAATTGATTGCTCTTGCCCTTAAACTCACTTAACTTTCTTTAATTATGAAGTATTACACAAAAATACAATTCTTCTTTATTTTAACTATGAACACAAAAAATAATTCACGCATAATTGTTTGAATATTCTCTTGAAGCAAAGGATTTGAAAATATATCATAAACATTGAGTTAAATGCTGCAGCTGGATACTTGGATATGTACCAGATTCTCTCAATTTCCACTAATGAGTGTGTCATTACTTTCTGTTTATTATAATAATAATCTCCTTTCAATACACCATAGAATATATAATAGAGCCAAAATTTTTAACATATGAAAATGCCTAACCTTATGTATCTCTTTCTGTCCCTTCTAACTTTTATTGCTCTATATGTTTTAATAATTTATTATTTTCATTAATGCAACATTTTATTCCTTACAGTAGTTAAAAATTTATTTACAAAAATATTATTTTCTCTGGTTATTATTATGTTGCTCTCCGTAAGTTTTTTATTGGTCCTATTTTTTTTTAAAAAATTTGATATATTCATCTTATTTCCTTTCTACTCTAGAAATGTTTTCTTTCTTTCTTTTTCTCTTTCGTTTTTTCTTTAAACTCAGCTTAAATATATTAGTCTTTTGTGTTCCCTTTTTCAATTATCAGCCTGTACATTTTTCTTTAGTTTCCTAAACCAATCCTCTGATTCAAACTCCTCATCAAGACTCATTTATGCAAGAGAAAGCAAAATAATGGAAAATAGCACTAGCGACTGAACAATTAAGAAAGAAATATTAGGTGGTTTCGGGCCAGGCGCGGTGACTCACGCCTGTAATCCCAGCACTTTGGGAGGCCGAGGCATGCGGATCACGAGGTCAGGAGATTGAGACCATCCTGGCTGACACGGTGAAACCCCGTCTCTACTAAAAATACAAAAAAATAGCCGGGCTTCGTGGCGAGCGCCTGTAGTCCCAGCTCCTTGGGAGGCTGAGGCAGGAGAATGGTGTGAATCCAGGAGGCGGAGCTTGCAGTGAGCCAAGATCCCGCCACTGCACTCCAGCCTCGGCAACAGAGCGAGACTCCGTCAAAAAAAAAAAAAAAAAAAAAAAAAGAAACAAACAAATATTAGGTGATTTCATTATGTTATTATACTCAATATCTACTAAACACCTATTCTATTGCAAACATGGTAATATAATCAAAATAAATGCTGTCAAAAATGGGGAATCTTATGTAAACTTTTCTTCTAATCTCAATTCTAAAGCAGAATAGTTGACATTAGCAAAAGTATGGTGTATCTTGGAAATGTTAATACAGTTGATTACTCCAAAAGCAGCCCTACATATTGAGATTTTCTCCTGATTTTTTTGGTCTTAAGTTAATATGCCAAGAGCGTGCTTTGGGGAGCAATTTAATGACTGGAGATATTGCCATTATCTGTAAAAGTAGACTAATTTTTTTTCATGTAAAAATGTACAGTGGGAAGTTCTGATCTCACTGGCATAAATGTTCAATTGACTTAACATTTGTATAAATTAGCAGAGATTCAGGTTATCAAAACTTGACCATTAATATAAAATTTAATACATCCTAGTTGAGTTGAAATATTTTAAACATATTTTAGAAATATACTTTTTTGTTCAATAAGGGTATTTTATATCAATAGTAATGCTAAGACTATGTTCAGTGTTAAGCTTCACTCTTCTAATTTCAAGCTTCTGGATTTTTCTTGTCCATTTAAAGTTTATATTAATCTCTAAAGAAGGTCAAGTGTCATTGGCCCATGTAATCTGATCAAATGAAAACAACATTTTTATTGTTTGGATTTTATTTTCTTAAAGTGAAAATTTAAATTATATAGTTTGTTGCAAATTTGATACGAACACATTGTTGCTGCAGAGCTTTTATCAAACTCAGGAAATTTCAGTTATGAGATGATAAAAATCCAAGCAATTAAAGATTTCCAATATGAAAATTTAAACATCTTTTTTACATTGAATGATTTTACTATTTTCAGATGCATTATATCTAATTAGCTAATAAATATTATATATGTTGACATAATTATTCTAGTTATCTGTTTGATAAATGTAAATATGTCATTTGAAAACGTAACATGTGCCCCTTTCAAAATACTAAGGTTTGCATTTAAAACCAAACATTTTCCCAAGTGGCATAATTTAAATTAACATGGTATCATATGTTGATTTGACCCAAAAAATTAATAATGGTTTATATTAATGAGTATTTTCTATCTTCAAGGAAGTTTTGTAGGGTCTTTTTCCATAAATTAACCTATTCTAACCACATGATAACTAAAGAAGTTACGCATTAAGATTATCTTCATTTTATGGTAGAGGATACTGAGGCACAGAACAGTAAAATAATTTGCCCAAAGTCATAGAGCTACAGAAAGTTACAAAACTAGAATTTGACTATTTAGGTATATATACATAGATATATATATTTCTGAATATTACCTTTTTATCTAGATATTGCCCATTTACATTTTAGTGGTCTCTTTCCTGCATGTAATTATACTGTATTTGAAAGAAATGTAGACATTTTTATTTGAAGAGGGACTTGATTATAACTGTCCTAAAGAATCATGAACTTTTTACTCAATACTACTTAAAGTAGGGAGCCTGATTTTATATATATATATATTTATGTTTTTATATATATTTATATATTTTTATATATTTTTATATATATTTATATATATTATGTATATGTATGTCTATGGAATTAATCAGCTTGGGAATTCTAACAGAAACTGCAAATAAAAGATATCCAACTTTACACAAGCAAAGAAGAAATTCTTGTTCTATAATTTGTGAATCCAGTTAAGCAAATTTCAGAATTGCTATAATAATCAAAGAATTTGAGCAATTATTCAATAATCAATGAATATCACTATTTAGTGTTAAGCACCCTTCCAAGTACTTGGTAAAACAGATAAATAAGACAGTTTTTTACAAAAGAAGGTAACTGTCTAATGAAGAACACACATACACACTTAAACAATATATTACATTACTTTGTAAACATTTTCTACAATAGAAGAAGTCATTAGTGCTATAAAAATACAAATATGATCTGTATGATGCGGCCTGGTGACTCTGGAAGATTTTATTCTCACCTTCTTCAAAAAATATTGAGGACCTATTTACATGCCTTATACGGTTGTTAACCCTTAGGATACAAAGATAAAGCAGATCTCCTGCACTTAATATTTCATGGTCTAAAAGTCAAGAAAAACAAACAATTGGGAGGCCGAGGCAGGTGGATCACGAGGTCAGGAGATCGAGACCATCCCGGCTAAAACGGTGAAACCCCGTCTCTACTAAAAATACAAAAAATTAGCCGGGCGTAGTGGCGGGCGCCTGTAGTCCCAGCTACTTGGGAGGCTGAGGCAGGAGAATGGCGTGAACCCGGGAGGCGGAACTTGCAGTGAGCCGAGATCCCGCCACTGCACTCCAGCCTGGGCGACAGAGCGAGACTCCGTCTCAAAAAAAAAAAAAAAAGAAAAAAAGAAAAACAAACAAATATATAGAAAAAGTAATGAATGTTATAGTGGAAAGTTACGTAACAAATTTATGGGATAAACATGAATATTAAAGAGGAAGTTTCCAAAATAAAATATCAGGTAACAGAAAGCAAAGGAACACATATGGAAAAAAACAAATTTCAGGAGAATACAATGTACAGAGGAGTGTTTCCAGCAGAGCGTGCCTATAGGAATTAGCCAAGGAGAAAACTAGAGATATGGGCAAGGCCAGGTCAGGAGGGCCAATGAAACTATGATTGAGAATTTTGGATCTTTTTTTTAGCTCATTCTTTATGTTTTTGCTTCTAAATTTTCTTTCACATAAGAAGCAAACATTCTGATATTTTGGGTTACAATTATACCTTTGAGGAAAGTTTTCTAAGTGATGGGAAGAACTGAAATTAGAAGATTATTACAGAAGCCAAGATAATAAATGATAGAAACCAGAACCATGACAATAGTCAAGAAGATTTAAAAAAAAAAAGTCATCTATTTAAATAATCAAAAGGTAAAACTAGAGTGCCTGTTGGACGGACTGGTGAAGAAGAACAAAAATAAAACTGATAATTATTTTTGATCACGTCATCTCATATTCTTGTGCATTAAATATGGTCATAGAGATTTTCGTTCTGCTTTGCATGAATAGAATAATAGCCTAGTGGTAAATCATAGTTCCTAACCTACAATTGTGAACTGTGTTAGAGATGATTTTATGTGGGGGAACAAAAAAAAAAAAACACTTTGGAAGGTTGAGGTGGGTGGATCACCTGAGGTCAGGAGTTCAAGACCAACCTGGCCAAAATAGAGAAACCCCATCTCTACTAAAAATACAAAAATTGGCTGGGTGTGGTGGCAGGCACCTGTAATCCCAGCCACTAGGGAGGCTGAGGCAGGAGAATCGCTTATACCCGGGAGGAGAGTTTGCAGTGAGCCGAGATGGCGCCATTGCACTCCAGCCTGGGCAAGAAAAGCAAAACTCCGCCTCAAAAAAATAAAAAAATTAAAAAATTTAAAAAAAGTGCTTTGCAGCATGTCATAAATTTTATTTAACTGTTGTATAGGAAAAGCAAAAATTATATTTACCCAGTATTATTGGCATTGAAATTGGACTAAAAATTTTGAAACGTACCTGTCATATTTTGATCACGTATTAACAATGCAAAAGCATGTAAATGACTGCCGAATTTGGAATGTATCTTCAAATGTGATTAGAGCACTTGGTTAGGATCACAACTGAGGAACACTAATAGCAATGCCTGATGTAGTTAGACATGCAACTGAATTTAGGAGTGCTGATTTCCTGCTCTCCGTTTACCTCTCACTGAGTTATTTTATACTCCCTCTCATTAATACCATTAGATCAATTTGAAAATATGTCTACTAGTCAAAGAAGATGTCCGAGATCAACAGTATGGGAAGGATGTGAATGAAAAGAGAAAACTACATTAATTGCTTCATTCAATTCATTTAGCATAGGTGTCAAGTTGCCTATTCTTTAAATAAATTAGGATTGTAAATGGCCTCTATTTGGGTCATTCCGGCTCTACTTATAGGATATGATTTATATCTTTCTTATTTTCTCCTGTTATGTATTTCTGAGGACACTTAAGTCATCCATAAATTAATCAAAGAAGCACAAGACCCATGATTAATTTTTTAAAAAAAGTTAAATTTGTGTCTTGGAGAAAAACTTTAAACTACAGTGCTGGGATTGAAGTTTTTAATTAAATTGGTTCCTGTGTTCTTTCCTCCAAATATGTTTGGTTTACATTAAAATTTGACATTTTAATCAGGCTGACTGCAAGCGAACTCCAAATTAAATCTGTACCCAATGTACCTAAGTGATAAGAGATGTGAAACATGTCACTTTTTTGAGAAACCACAAATATCAAAAATTCATCAAGCACTATTTCCTGAATTTACAAATACTTGTATTCATTAGATGGGAATCTTGTATAATTTTAAAAAATATTATCACTTCCATGTGATTTGATTTTAAACAATATACTTTTTGTCTATTTTATTGTTGTAATATTTCTAGCTATGAAATAATTTTGCTTATCAGATTATCAGTGTTGGATGACAAAAAATTTCCTTCCGTTAACATTTCAACTCCTCTATGAAGGATTTAAGCATTCTTTATTATAATCCAATAGAAGCTTGAAGTTTTTTTGTTTGTTTGTTTGTTTTCCCACTACTTCACAACGTGCAGCCTGTACTCTACCTAAATTGGAATCTTAATTCTGTGCATGACTGAAAATCACCTCCACGTCTTCACCCATGTTGTTCTCACTAGCATGTCTTCCTCTGTTTAAATCCCTTCCTTTGAGCATGTTTAAGTATCTTACTATCAAACAGTTAATAGTTCCTTTCACCAAACTTGTTCCCTCCCTTCTTGAACTAACATAGTATCATATGTATTTAAATCATATGGTATTATAAATATTGCAACAGTGACTTATATGCATACTTATTTTGGAGTTGTACCATTGTTAATCTCTTCTATTGTACTGTGGGGAAAAAATGTCCCTCAACAAGTATTTAAATTTAATTATTCTTCCCTGGAAATGTTATTCTTTGTTTCTTTTTATTGCACTGAGTCATTTCTACTCTTTTTGAATGTATAATTTCCCACTATTTAACTACTTAAGTATCTTCTTATAGTGTTATTAGTAAGCTTTCTAAGATCTGAGAATGTATCTTATATATTTTGGATCTGCTCAGATGCATAGCACATTATTGCTCAGTAAAATACAAAGGTTGTTAGATTTCATTCCTGTGAAAATTATTCTGTTTAAAAATCAAGAATGCTCATTTGATGTGTTAAATAGAATCAGTTTCCTTGGTACATTTAAGATAATGAGGCATTGTTCAAATCATAGCACCTCAAAGAACTTAGAGTGATTTCAGATAAAACAATATAATGAATATACATTGTGCAAATAATCAAAATATTATTAATATGATACTAGAGATTAAACACTAGGGCCCATGATCTGTTTACTCAAGATGTTTACAGTGAAATGCAGCATAGGAAAGAATTCAGAGTAAGTTTGCATTACCCCCAAACAATGTAAAATGCTAAATTGCTAACATGTTTTTGGTGGATTTTAAGTTAAGGATGTCTAAATATAATTCATTTGGTTGATCCCCCACTTTTTTTCATGTGTGTAAAATAGAGTGAAATAGTCAATAAAGTTAATTTACTGTTACAGTGAGATCCGGAAAGCAAGCAACTATGAATCTGAATAGTTTCTGGAAGCATCCGATTTATATCTTTTCCTTCTTTGTGTTTTGTTGTTTATTTCTTCATTTTTAAGCAATGCATTTTTGACCTACAGCTTGGCAGCCTCAAAGCAACAACCCTTTTATTCTTTCTTAACCTGCAATGGCCTCACTTCCAGAGCATTATGACTTTATTCACCAGCAGGTTTGTTTTAAGACTACAACGAGTCCTACTTCCTGCTCAAAAAATGTGCTAAAGTTTCTGGCTGGGCCTTAAGACATTTTAGAAGCTCCTCTTTGCAGGAGAGAAAAGGCACCAAGCCAGTTACTATGCACATGCATAAATCTGTCAATTATCTAGAATCTGGCACAAAATTCATGTCACTTAGAGGAAAAACATGCTGAGAGGTTGCAGTTCCAACACAGAAATTGCTATTTGTTTTTTTGTTTTTTTTTTTTTTTTGGTTTCATGAATGAGGTTTGTAGTTTGTAGTTTGGTCCCTTAAAATGGACAGGGGGAAAACAAGAAAGATAAGCAAGCATAAAAAGCATTCACAGAATGTTAATGCACTCTGATTTTTAGGGATAGCTTATAATCTCTTGAATATGTGCATAGTAAAAAGGCTTCATTTCTGATATATGAAGATCTATGAATTGTTAGAGTGGATGAAAGCAAACAGTGTAGTGAATTCAACCTTTAGTCTTTTGAACATTCTTAGTTTCTATTATCTTCTTTGGTGGTAATTGTCATTTTGAATTCACTTGGGGTGATTTCACTAATTTAATTACAGAATAGGTATGTAGATAGAAAATGAGGTGAGGAAGGTGAGGAGCTAGAGCTAAGGAAATCAGAGCAGATATGTTCTACCACGTGAAATAGTTGATGGAGTGCTATTATTGGCACCATTTGTAACTAAAATTGAAGGTGATCGCATCCTAATGTAGTCACATGCTTGAGGTGCTTACTTAACCCGACAGCTAGCAAAGTGTCTGCACTATAGAAGACTTCAACACATGAGTGCTATAAAACATTCCAGTTCGTTGTCTTTGTGCCCAATTGTGTACCTGCATTTCAAATTCAGAGCTCAATACTTTTATGGAAATGCAACTCTTGAGAGTGCTGAAAGACGCAGGCAGATCATGCTGCTCAAATGAAGAGAAAAGGAAATGTTTCTAAGACAGTTATACTAAATACAGTGAGCATGTAATGATCAAGAGAGGTTTTTCAAAGCTTTTAGGTGCAAATCAAATCTCCTTAAAGGATAAGCTTGCAAATTATTCAGCATTATACTTGGAAGAATGTATCCCTAAAGCTGAAGTTGAAAACAGTTTTCTCTGAATTTATTTAGTTTATCTAAGTTGTAGGACAGTTGGTGATTCATCCTTGGGTATTTGTTCTTGGCAAAGCTTCTGATTTGATGGTAATTTCAAAAGTAAGAATAAAAGCACTACTTTAATAGTAAATTCTCAAGTACATTTCATTAAAAGTGGTCCAAAGCAAATTTTAATTAAAGGTTAAATGCTGTTTGCCATGCAAGACACGGCAGAAGTTAAAGCAAATATGTCATTCCTTCCAAATTCTACCTCTGTTTTAATAAACCATTCTAAAATCACATGCACTTTAACACATTTTCATTATCAGAATTATTTATTCATCCTTTTGATCAATTAAATGAATGATACTTATGATCACCACAGAAATATAAAAACTTAAACAAAATGTTAAACATAACAAATGTGATTGATAGGAACCATTGATCTGTTTTCCATTTTTATAATTTTGCCATTACAGGAATATAGCAAGTTTTATATAAGTCAATAGGTTCTTAAAAGAATGCATATTCTGCTACTGCTGAAGGGAGGTGGTCTATAAATGTCAATTACATCCTGTGGGGTGATGGTATTGGTCTTCCAAATCTTTGTTGATTTTCTGTCTAGTTATTCTATCAGTAGTTGAGAGAGGGGTGTTGGAGTCTCCAACTACAGTACTAGATTTGTCTATTTCTCCTTCTATCAATATATGCTTCAAATATTATGCAGTTTTGTTGCCTGTGGTATACACTGAGGATTGTTATGTCTTTTAGGTTGATAATTGTTACTAGGTAGTATCCCTCTGTGTCTCTGATAATTTTTATTTTGTTTTGAAGTCTACTTTATCTGACACTAACATAGGAATTCTTGTATTCTTTTACTATTTCATGATATAACTTTTTTCATTATTTTAATTACCACATAACTACGTTATTATATTTGAAGTGAATTTCTTATAAATAGCATATAGTTAGGTCACTTTTTAGAATCAACTCTTCCAGTGTCCTTTTCTGCACAGGTTTATCTATGTCATTTACAGTTAATGTAATAGGAACCGGCATTATTTAATAGTTTAATGTTTTGTTTTATTTCATTTTGTTATTTTATTTCAATAGCTTTAGGGGTGCCATTGATTTTTGGTTTCTTCAATAAATTGTACAGTTATGAAGTCTGGACTTTTAGTGTACTTGTCATCCAAATAGTGTATTTTGCCCCATCTCCTTTCCATTCTCCCCACTTGTGAGTCCGCAGTGTCAATTAGACCACTCTGTAAGCCTTCGTGTACCCATAGCTTAGCCCTTACTTATAAGTATATTATTAGGCATGTGTTTTTTGTGTAGCTATTATAAGTGGGAGTGGGATTGAGTTCTTTTTTTTTCCTACTTTTAAGTTCTGGGATACATGTGCAGAATGTGTAGGTTTGTTACATAGGTATACATGTGCCATGGCGGTTTGCTGCACCTATCAACCCATCATCTAGGTGTTAAGCCCCGCATGCATTAGGTATTTGTCCTAATGCTCTCTCTCCCCTTGGTCCCCACCCCGCAACAGGCCCTGGGTGTGTGATGTTCCCCTCCCTGTGTCCATGTGTTCTCATTGTTCAACTCCCATTTATGAGTGAGAACATGTGGTGTTTGGTTTTCTGTTCCTGTGTTAGTTTGCTGAGAATGAAGGCTTCCTGCAGGGATTGAGTTCTTGATATTGTTTACAGCCTGGCTGTTATTTTCAGCAGTGCTACTGTTTTTCGTACATCCATTTTGTAACCCAAGACTTTAGTGAATTCATTTATCAATCTAGGAGACTTTTGAAGGAGTCTTTAGGGTTTTCTAGGTATAAGATTATAGTAGGCCATTCACGCATTGCTATAAAGAATTTCCTGATACTGGGTAATATTTAGACAAAAGAGGTTAATTGGCTCACAAGAAGCATGATGCCAATTTCCACTTGGTTTCTGGGGAAACTTCAGGAAGCTTACAATCATGGGGAAGGTAAAAGGAGAGCAGGCATATAACATGGCAAAAGCAGGAGCAAGCAAGAAAGAGAGAGAGATGTCACACACTTTTAAGTGACAAGATATTGCACAAACTCACTTTTGTGAGGACAGTACCAAGAGGATGGTACTAAACCACTCATGAGAAATTGCCCCCATGATTCAATCACCTCTCACCAGCCCCCACCTCCAACATTGGGGATTACAATTCAAAATGAGATTTGCATGGAGGATACAGATTTAAACCATATCATTCTTCCTCCATCCTCCATCGAATCTCATGTCCTTCTCACTTAGAAAAATACAATCCTGCCTTCCCAATAATCCTCCAAAGCCTTAACCCTTAAGGCATTAACTCAAATTCCAAAATTCAGAGTCTCATCTGAGACAAGGGCTGGTCCCTTTCACCTATGAGCCTGTAAAATACAAGCAAGTTAGTTACATACAATATAAAATGGGGGTGTAGGCATTGGGTAAATACTCCCTTTCCAAAAGGGAGAAATTGGCCAAAAGAAAGGGCTACAGACCCAATGCAGTTTGAAACCCAGCCAGGCAGTCATTAAGTCTTAAAGCTCCAAAACAATATCCTTTTACTTCATGTCCTCCTTCCAGGGCAAACTGGTGTGAGGTGTGGACTCCCAAGGTCTTGAGCCACTCCACCCCTGTGGCTTTGCATAGATTAGCCCCCACATCTGCTCTCACAGATTGTTGAGTGCCCACAGATTTTCCAGGCTCAGGGTGCAAGTTGTCTGTGGATCTAACATTCTGCAGTCATGAGGATGGTGGCTCTCTTCTCACAGTTCCACTAGGCTGTGCCCTAGTGGGGACTCTGTGTGGAATTCCAACCTCATATTTTCCCTCTGTACTGCCTTAGTATAAGTTCTCTGTGAGGGCTCTGCCCCTGAAGCAAGCTTCTGCCTGGACACTCAGGTTTTTCCATACGTCTCTGAAATCCAGGTGGAGGCTTCCAAGACTCAACTCTTGTATTCTGTGTACCCAGTGGCTTATCACAATGTAGAAGCCACCAAGGATTATGGGTTGCACCCTCTGAAGCAGTGGCCTGAGCTGTACCTGGGCCCCTTTGAGTCACTGTCAAAGCTAGAGTTGCCAGGATACAGGGAGCAATGTCCTGAAGCTGTTCAGGGCAGTGGGTACCTAGGCCTGGCCCACAAAGCCATTCTTCCCTCCTTGGTTTTCAGGCCTGTGATGGCAGGGGCTGCCCTGAAGGTCTCAAATGCCTCTAAGGCCTTTTCCCATTGTCTTGGCCATCACACTTGGCTTCCTGGTTATTCACATATCTAGAACAAGTGGTTGCTCCACAATCTGCTTGAATTCCTCTCCTCAAAAGTCTTTTTATTTCTTTGCCACATGGCTAGACTGCAAATTTTCTAACCTTTTATCTTCGGCTTCCCTTTTACATATAAATTCCAACTTCAAGTCATTCATTTGCTCCTGCATCTCAGAATAGGTTGTTAGAAGTGGTCAGGTAAACTCTTGAACATTTTGAACACAAATTCCTTTCACCAGATACCCTAAATCAGCATTCTCAAGTCCAGATTTCCATAGGCACTCTAGGACATGGACATAAAACAGCCAACTTCTTTTCTAAGGCATAGCAAAAGTAACTTTTACCCCATTTCCCAATAAGTTTCTCATTTCCAACTGAGAACTTTGCAGCCTGGACTTTATTTTTCATATTATGATGAGCATTTTGATCACAACCATTTAACCAGTCTCTAAGAAGTTCTAAACATTCTCTCATCTTCCTGTTTTCCTCTGATCCCACCACATGCTTCAAAATTCTGCCTGTTACCCATTTCCAAAGCTGCTGCCACATTTTCAGCTATCTTTGTAACAATGCCCCACCCTTCAGATACCAATTTTCTTTATTAGGCGGTTGCTATAAAGAAATACCTGAAACTAGTTAATATATAAAGAAAAGAGGCTTAATTGGATAATGGTTCTGCAGGCTTTACAGAAAACATGGTGCCAGCAACGCCCCCTTGGCTTCTGGAAGGCCTTAGGAAGCTTACAATCATGGCAACAGGTGAAAGAGGAACAGGCACATCACATGGTAAAACCAGGAGAAACAGAGTGAAAGGGGGGAGGTGCCACACCCTTTTAAGCAACCAGATCTCATAAGAACTCACTCACTATCATGAGAACAGCAGAAAGAGAATAGTACTAAACTATTCATGTGAAACTGCCCTCATCATTAAATTACCTCTCACTAGGCCCATATCAAACACTGGGGATTAAAATTTAACATGACATTTGGGTAGGGACACAGATCCAAACCATATCAAAGATCATATTATAAGCAAACTGGGATAGTTCGACTTTCTATTTTCCAATTTAGATGTTTTTTACTTCTTTCTCTTGCTTAATTGCTCTGCCTAGGACTTCCAGTACTATGTTGAATAGAACTGGTGAAAGTGGGCATCTTGTCTTGTTTCAGTTCTCAGGGGGAATACTTTCTATTTTTACTTATTCAATATGATGTTGGTTGTGGCTGATATGGTGATGTTGTTTGGCTCTGTGTCCCCACCCAAATCGCATTTTGAATTGTATTTCAATAATTTCCATGTGTTGTGGGAGGGACCCGGTGGGAGATAATTGAATCATGGGGGTGGTTTCTCCCATACTGTTCTTGTGTTAGTGAATAAGTTCACGAGATCTGATGGTTTGATAAGGGGAGACCCGTTTCACTTGGCTCTCATTCTCTCTCTTGCCATCACCATGTAAGAAGTGCCTTTCACTATGATTGTGAGGCCTCTCTGGCCACATGGAACTGTAAGTCCATTAAACCTCTTTCTTTTATAAATTGCCCAGTCTTTGGTATGTCTTTATCAGCAGCATGAAAATGAATTAATACAGTAAATTCGTACCAGTAGAGTGGGGTACTGCTGAAAAGATATCTGAAAATATGGAAGCAATTTTGGAACTAGGTAACAAGCAGAAGTTGTAACAGTTTAAAGGACTCAGAAAAGACAAGAAAATTTGAGAAAATTTGGGACTTCCTATAGACTCGTTGAATGGCTTTGCCTAAAATGCTGATAGTGATATGGACAATAAGGTCTAGGCTGAGATATTCTCAGATGGAAATGAGGAACTTTCTGGGAACTGAAGCAAAGTGACTCTTGTTATGTTTTGGCAAAGAGACTGGTGGCATTTTGCCCCTGCCCTAGAGATTTGTGGAACTTTGAACTTGAGAGAGACAATTTCGGGTATCTGGCAGAAAAAATTTCTAAGCAGCAAAGCATTCAAGAGGTGACTTTGGTGTTGTTAAAGGCATTCAATTTTATAACGAAAGCAGAGCATAAAGGTTTGGAAAATTTGCAGCCTGACAATGCGATAGGAAAGGAAATCCCATTCTCTGCGGAGAAATTTAAGCCAGCTGCAGAAATTTGCATAAGTAACGAGGATCTGGATGGTAATCCCCAAGACAATGGTGAAAATGTCTCCAAAGCATGTCAGAGGTCTTCACAGCAGCCCCTCCCTTCACAGGCCTGGAGGTCTAGAAGGAAAAAACTGGTTTTGTGGACTGGGTCCAAGGTCTCCCTGCTGTGTGTAGCTTAGGGACTTGGTGCCCAGTGTCTCAGCCACTTCAGCCATGGCTGAAAGGGGCCAACATAGAGCTTGGGCTGTGGCTTTAGAGGGTGAAAGCCTCAAGCCTTGGCAGCTTTCACATGGTGTTGAGCTTGCCAGTGCACAGAAGTTAAGAAATGGGGTTTGAAAACCTCCATCTAGATTTCAGAGGATGTATGGAAACACCTGGATGTCCAGGCAGAAGTTTGCTGCAGGGGCAGGGCTTTCATGGAGAACTTCTGCTAGGGCAGTCTGAAAGGGAAATGTGGGGTTGGAGCCCCCCACAGTATCCCTAGTGGGACACCACCTAGGGGAGCTTTGAGAAGAGGGCCACCATCCTCCAGATCCCAGAATGGTAGATCCACCAACAGCTAGCACTGTGCACCTGGAAAAGATGCATATACTCAACACCAGCTCCTGAAAGTAGCCAGAAGGAGTGCTATACCCTGCAAAGCTACAGGGGCAGAGCTGCCCACGATTATGGGAACCTACCTCTTGCATCAGCATGACCTGGATCTGAGACATGGAGTCAAAGGAGACCATTTTGGAGTCTTCAGATTCAACTGATCTGCTGAATTTAGGGCTTACTTGGGACCTGTAGCCCCTTTGTTTTGGCCAATTTCTCCCATCTGGAATGGCTGTCTTTACCCAATGCCTATACCCCCATTGTATCTATGAAGTAACTGATTTGCTTTTGATTTTACAGGCTCATAGTCAGAAGGGACTGGCCTTGTCTCAGATGAGACTTTGGACTGCAGACTTTTAAGTTAATGCTGAAATGAGTTGAGAGTTTGGGGTGCTATGGGGAAGGCAGGATGGTTTTGAAATGTGAAGATATGAGATTTGGGAGTGGCCAGGCATGGAAAGATATAGTTTGGCTCCTATGTCCCCACCCAAATCTCATCTCGTAGTTCTCATAATTTCCAAGTGTTGTGTCAGGGACCCGAAAGGACATGATTGAATCATGGGGGCAGGTCTTTCCCATGCTCTTCTCATGATAATGAATGGGTCTCACGAGATTTTATAGTTTTAAAAAAACTCTGCACAAGCTCTTACTTTGCCTGCTGCCATCCATGTAAGATGTGACTTGCTCCTCCTTGCCTTGCACTACGATTGTGAGGCATTTGCAGCCATGTCGAACTGTAAGTCCATTACAACTTTTTCTTTTATAAGTTGCCCGGTCTCAGGTATATCTTTATCAGCAGTGTGAAAACGAACTAATACATATGGCTTTCATTATTTCAAGGTGTGTACCTTCTATGTCTAGTTTGTTGAGGGTTTTGATCATGAAAGGATGCTGGATTTTATTAAATGCTTTTTTTTTGTATCTGGGGAAATAATATGGTTTCTGTTTTTAATTCTCTTAACGTGGTGAATCACATTCATTGGCCTGTCTATGCTGAACAGTCCTTGCATCCCTGGGATGAAACCCAATTGTTTATGATGAATTATCATTTTGATGTGCTGGTGGATTCACTTCGCTAGCTTTTTTTTTTTTTTTTTGAGAAATCTTACATCTACGTTCATCAGGGATGTTGGGCTGTAGTTTTCTTTTTTATTGTGTGCTTTCCTGACCCAGTATCACTCTCAGGGTCATAATGACTTTGTAGAATGAATTAGTGAGGGATTCCCTCCTTCCTGATCTTTTTTTTGGAATAATTTTAGTAAGATTCATGTGACTGCTTCTTTTAATGTCTGGTAAAATTTGGCAGTAAATCCATCTGATCCTTTGCTTTTTCTTGTTGTTGGGAGGCTTTTTATTACTAATTTAATATCATTAGTTGTTACTTATCTGTTCAGGGTTTCTGTTTCTTTCTGATTCAAGTTTGGGGGGTTGTATGTTTTCAGGAATTTATCCATTTTTATTAGATTTTCTAGTATGTAATGCATAAAGATGTTCATAATAGTCTCAGATGATTGTTTTGTATTGCTGTACTATGAGTTGTAATGTCTTCATTTTCATTTCTTATTGAGCTTACTTGAATCTTCCCTCTTCTTTGCTTGGTATTTTAGCCAGTGACCTATCAATTTTTATTTTACTTTAAAACAATGTTTTTTTATTGTATTGATCTTTTATATTGGTCTTTTGCTTTCAATATTATTTAGTTCTGCTCTAATATTTGTTTCTTTTTTTTTTTTTTTTTTTTTTTTTTTGAGATGGAGTCTTGCTCTTGCTCTGTCACCCAGGCTGGAGTGCAGTGGCATGATCTCAGCTTGCTGCAAGCTCTGCCTCCCGGGTTCACACCATTCTCCTGCCTCAGCCTCCCAAGTAGCTGGGACTACAGGCACCCATCACCACACCTGGCTATTTTTTTTTTTGTATTTTTAGTAGAGACAGGGTTCACCATGTTAGACAGGATGGTCTCGATCTCCTGACCTCGTAATCCACCCACCTCAGCCTCCCCAAGTGCTGGGATTACAGACGTGAGCCACCATACCCAGCCCCATATTTGTTTCTTTTCTCCTGCCATCCTTGGGTTTGGTTTGTTCTTGTTTTTATAGTTCCTTGAGGTGTGATATTAGGTTACCAGTTTGTGATTGTTCTGTCTTTTTGGTGCAGGCATTTGGAACCATAAACTTGCCTCTTGCTACTTCTTTTGTTGTATCCCAGAGATTTTGATAACTTCTGTCACTGTTATCATTCATTTTGAAAACTTTAACAATTTTCAGCTTATTTTTTTCATTGACCCAAAGATTGTTCATGAACAGATTCTTAAAATTTTCATGTAATTGTATAGTTTTGAGAATTCTTAAAATTGATTTTAAATTTAATTTCATGGTTGTCTAAGAAGATACTTGATAGGATTTCTTTTTTGTTTTGTATTTATTGAGACTCATTTTGTGGTCTGTCATATGGTCTATCTTAGAAAATATTCCGTGTGCTAAGAAGTATGTATAATTTGTTAGTTTTTGGGTAGTATGTGCTATAAATATATGTTAGGTACATTTTTTTCTAAAATCCAGTTTAGTGTTTCTTTATTGACTTTCTGCCTTGATAATCTGTCTAGTGCTGTCAGAGGGATGTTGAGGTCATCACTATTATTGTACTGCTATCTATCTCTTTTCTTGGGTCTAGTGGTAGTTAATGAATCTGGGAGCTCTGGTGTTAGGTGCATATCTATTTAGGATTGCTGTATCTCTTGTTGAATTGATTCCTTTATCACTATATAATGACTTTCTCTATTTTTTTTCTCTTACTCATTTGAAAGTCTGTTTTATCTAATATAGGAATAGATACTCCTGCATGATTTTGGTTTTCAGTTGTGTTGCATATTTTTTTACACCTTTTTACCTTGAGTCTATAAAAATCTTTATGAGTTAAGTGGGTCTCTTGAAGCCAACATTTATTTTGCTTTTTTTAAGTCCATTCTTACAATTTATTTCTTTAATGAAGGGCATTTAGGCCATTTACATTCAAAGTTAGTATTCATGTGTTGAGGTACTGTTACAGTCATCAAGTTGGTTGTTGTCTATTTACTTTGTTGATTACATTGTTTTATAAGCCCTGTAAGTTTTATATTTTCAAGTGTTTTATACTGGTGCATATATCCTTAATTTCAATGTGTAGAACTCCTTTGAGTGTTTCTTATAGGACTGGTCTAGAGGTGGAACATTCTCTAAGTATTTGCTTGTAGGGGGAAGATTTTGCTTCTCCTTCATTTATGAAAATTACTTTTGTAGCCTATAAAATTCTTTGTTGACAGTTGTTTTGTTTGAGGACTATAAAGATAGGACCCTAATCCCTTCTGGTTTGTAAGGTTTCTGCATGAGAAGTCTGCCAGTAGCATAATAGGTTTTCCTTATAAGTTGTTTGGTGCTTTTGTTTCACTTTAGTTAGGGGAAGTACTCAGATGTCACAGGTGATGGGAGGGGCTGTGGAACTCTCAAAAGTCTCTGTGTTCTGCTACCAAGGCAGGTAAAGGGGCAAAGCTGGGTGAGGGCTGGATCAGACAAGTCTGCAGTCTGGCTCCCCAAGTGTGAGCACACGTGGAAGCCCCAATGGAACTCAGAGGGCATAAAAGTAGTACTATAGCATGCAAAAATCAAAGATTTAAGAGACTCATGGATATGGGTTTTGTAACCAGTTCTATGTTTACTAGTTGTATGAGTTAGGGCAAATTATTAAGCTAACACACACACACTTCAATCTCAAATCTCATATTAACTTCTAGATTTTACATCATAGTTTTCCTAAGGATTAAAATGAGATATCATACCTGCTGTAGCTTATGAAATATGTTACCCAATAAATCATATCTAGTAGTAGCATAGCAACAATATATGTTGGATCACTAACTTATAAATTAAAACTCTCTCACTTATGTATTAAAGATAGTTAAGTTGTTTTATATTCCATGGAAAGAAAACTTTTTTTTCATACATTTCATCAAATACAATGTCAAATAATTTACAAATAAATGAAAAATACACAATGTTCAAAAACTAATGTTATTTTATTGAACTGAAAATTTTAATGGTTCTACAAGGATAGAGATTCTTACTCTAAGTAACAGAACCTATATAAGAGATTCTCAACTCAGCTGTTCACTTTAATGCAGATTCCTGGGTCTCACCCCTGGAGGTTCTGAATTAATTCAGCTGGTAGAGAGCCTGGGCATTGTGATTTAAAAAAAATATTCCCAGATAGTTCTTATGTGTTGCCTAGGTTGAGAATCCCTAGTCTAGATTACTCTTTCTCAAACTTCAGAGAGCATACACATCACTTAGGGATATATTAAAAATTGTACAGTCTGATTCAATAGACACAGGATGAAGCCTAAGATTCTGCATTTCTACTGAGCTCCTATATATTGATGATACTGTTTTACCACATTTTGACTAACATAGATTTAGATGATTATATCTGATTGATTCCTGTTAATTGTTAAAGATGGATTCTAACATTGAAAATGTTTCACACTTTAAAAAAATCAAAGGAAAAAATTATTAAAATTGAAAACAGAAGCAAATAAGCCTAATTCTACGAGTGAGATTTACTATAAGGACACTGAAACTGCAAAGCAAGCAGCTGTATTGTTAGCAAAATTATTGTCATATTGAAACTCCATTAGCAATATTGTAGTTAAAGCAAATAAGTAATTATATGAATTGTTGTAAAACATGATTTTTATGTAAACAAGAAAGATATAAAATCAGAAAACTTGAATAAAACTTAACTTTTAACATTGTAATATTAAATGTGAAAAGGAAATATCAGTGTAAACTCTTGATTGATATGTATGAAAGAACATATAGACAAAGGCACCCTAGCAGTAATGAGCACCCCTAGTGCCTAGTGTTCTCTAAACTACCATCATACATCCACTAAGTATTTTTAGATACTGGAAGAAACTGAGGCTAATTCCAGGTCTAAATCAGGGAAAGCATAAGATATGGATCCATTCAAAATGGATCCTAAGAGTTTTTATTATATTATTCTTGCAACTTTAAAAGTTTGAGCATTTTCATAATAAGGTGTAAGGAAGGGATCCAGTTTCAGCTTTCTGCATATGGCTAGCCAGTTTTATAATACCATTTATTAATAGGGAATCCTTTCCCCATTGCATATTTTTGTCATGTTTGTCAAAGTTCAGATGGTCGTACATGTGTGGCACTATTTCTGAGGTCTCTGTTCTGTTCCATTGGTCTATGTATCTGTTTTGGTACCGTTACCTTGCTGTTTTGGTTACTGTAGCCTTGTAGTATAGTTTGAATTCAGGTAGGGTGATATCTCCAGCTTTGTTCTTTTTGCTTAGGATTGTTTTGGCTATGCAGGCATTTTGATTAGGTAGGATTAGAATAGCATTTGGTCTTAAACTAATTTTCACCACCACAGAAGAGTAATTCTTCCACATACTATACCTGATACTGCATGAATTACTAATTTTTTTCACCCTCAAGAGTGATGTCAGGAAATATTCTCACCCCTCTGAGAGTTTGGGACATTTCTCCCTCTAATCCTTTCAGGTAGTTATTTTGCTAGCCTCTGTTAATTTTCTTAGACATGTGCTCTAATAAGTATTTAGCTGAAGGCTCAAAAAAGATTCTGTGAAGTTCCTCAGATATCACTCTCTCTTTCTCTAATTCTGTCTCTCTCTTTGTTCTCTTCAAACTTCCAGCTTTGTGTCTTCAACTCAGTAAGATTACTAAGCTTCACCTAGATTCTATTCTCTTTTACTGCCTAAAAACTCTGTCTTGGTATTGGGCTGTGGCAATCACAGTACACACACCTCACTTGTTTGCCTTCTTTCAGTAATCATTGTTCTTTGTTGCCTGATGTTCATTATCTTAGAAACCATCATTTTATGTATTTTGTCTGCATTTTTATTTGTTTCAGATGGGAGGTTAAATCCACTTTGATACTCTTATCTTATCCACTAACAGATATTTTGCGTTTTAGCATTATATACTTGTTCAGTTTATGTTACCTATATTTAACCCATTCCACTTCTTATTGCCTTTTTGTTTAAACATAAACCCTCAAAAAATCTGAAGACTATAGTAAGAGAAGATCAATACTGTTTATTTTCATAACATTAGAATAAAGTAGGTTGAGATAATCAGATTAAGTAGGAAGCAATAAGGACCCACAGTGATAATTTGGGGATTAGGTAAAAGACCATAGAGTGAGCAGAATAGGTTTTTGTTTTTAAATAAAAGGAATGTACTTAGAACTCACATATAGGATATCACATTGTATTTTAAAGAATATGGAAAAAGAAGGCAAATACTGCATGGTGAAATATACTTTTTTATTTCTGATTTAATTCTTTCATGAGAAACCTAGATATAGTTTTCAGAAAAAAATCATTTTTAAGAATATGTAATATATGTTTAGTATATAGTTTCATACTGAGCCACTGTAATCCTTGCAAGGATTATTGAAGAACAATTTACTAACTCATGTAGTCAAATTTAGGAAATTCATAGAAGTCAACTTAAAGGGTTTAGAGGGAATAAAGTTGCTATTATGCTACATGAATAAATATATTTTTTAAATATGCTGGATTCTGGCTATTACTTTTAATAATAATTATACTTCAGGGATTATAGAGAGGCATCTATAAGGTGTTCCTACTCATTTCCTTTCCCATATTTTCAGAAAGAACTAGAAAAAATAGAGATGCACAAATATATTACTTAAAAGATAAGCATGCACAGGCCCAGACACACACACACATACACATAAATACCCTTCCAAAGATCTGTAGAATAACAAGAAACAGGCTTGCTAATTTTCGATAACAATGTTTTCATCGTTGCTCATTTTTAAACATTTAAAAATTATATAAGTTAACAAAGCCTGCCCCAGTTTTTTTAAATAAGATAACTGTTCTGAAGGTCTTGTTAATGATATAACACTTCAGCTTCTAACCAATGGTATTTCTCTGTTTCATTAGTTGAAAACCCTTTGAACTGACAATCTTTTGTGCACTCAAATTCTCAATACTGAAACCAGTAGTAATACCCGTGCTTAACTAGATGAAGAACAAAGAGCAGATTATAATAAGATTTTCTTTGTATAATAATTGAAAAGTAAAGAAAAAATACTACACTGACAAGAAACTTAGGGCATGTTTTATACTCTCATCAATTGTAAAGCAAATCTATTAAGGACTGTAATAATGTATTTATGCAAACAAGGTGGTTTTCTTATTATATAGAAGATGTCTTATTTAACGATAATAAGTTAGGAATGAAAATACGCTTTTTTGTAGCAGAGGAGGTGCTTATGAGTGAAGTATCTCATAGAAGTACAAGTTGTAAATAGTGGTATTTATTTGCAAACCTTTAATTTCTAGGTATATATTTTTATCTGTAGAAACATGATATCACATTTATGTTTCAAATTATGTTATTCCTGCATGTTGCATTGCAATATAAATTGTCACAAATAGCAACCAATTTTTGGATAATTAAAATAGATCTTATTTACTGCAACTTGAGCTTTTCACATGGGAGCAATAAACATTTATTTACCATCACTCAGGGTGTTGATATATTTTAAACATTTTGCCATACTGTGCTCTTGAATCTCAAAAAGATGGGCCATCACTATGTTGCATATGTTGCTATATATATTAAAATCTTCCTAATGCTAAATTTAACATATAAGAGGAAATTCAGTCCCTAAGTATTGTCAAAGGAGAAAAAATTGTGTTCCTGAACAATGACCATCTGTCAAATGAAACTATACTAAAGTAGTATGTGGTAGCCACATGATAGGATCTCATTTACTGAAATTGAACTGGAAACACTGAATGAATTTCATATAAGTAAGGGCCTCAATTTGACCATGGAGAGACATATAAAAGAGAAAACTCACTCAGCTTGCAGATACATTACTTGTATTTTTCTCATTACCCTACCAAGATATTTAATGAAGAAAAAGAAAGTTGGGGGACAGGGAATCATACAAATGACTCTTCATATATATGAACACATTTATCTAATTTCTATATAGGTCCTGTAGAAATGTTTTATATGTGATAAGCTGGAAGAAACACCTGTGTCAGGTTCACCATAACACACACAGTAAATTCAAAAATGTAAAAAAAGTCTTTGAAACCCATAGGACCACACTAAGTCTCTTCCCATTTCAATGGTCCCATATATAGTCTGATTTTTACCCCTTCAGTTTTTCTTTCAGGCTCTATAAGCCAAATAATTTAGGTGAATTTTGTGCCCTCTGTATGCCAAATCTATTTTGGTCCCTCTGCTATTTAATATTGGCATTTTGCAGAGAGAGTATTTTAAGTCTTGATGCTTTTTCCATTTGTATATATAAAACAGACTTGTTTTGTTTCTCCCTTATCCAAATATAAAGATAGTCAAGTAATTTTATTCTTTCTAAATTATTGTTACATAAATGCAGTTATCAAAATTGTTATAGTCCAGGCCAACCAGAAGCAAATTAAAAACAAATTATTTGATATAGCAACTGTCTTACATAATAGTTTTCAATGTATGCTGTATCCATTTAATGTAGCAATTGCAATGTTTTGCCTTATGCATTGGCTCTTATTTAGAATTCATGATTGTTGCTCTATTACCCGAAATTTTATTGCAAAAGAATAAAATATTGTTTGATTTCATTTCGTTGACACTATGTTTTGACACCTGCACATGCAAAGCCTACACATTCTTTGGTACTTCTGGTTGAATCACTGACATTTCCTTCAGTTCTATCTTTCATAGGCTTTTGTAGTGTCTCCAGTTTATTCAGAATGTTAATTTTGCTGATATGCTTGATATTCATTCTAAAAGGTATACCCACTTATTCTTCACACAGAAGTGTCTTCCTTTTTCTGCCTAACATTCAACATTGATTAAAATTGACTTGTTAGGTATTTCTCCTAATACCTAATGTAGATGACAGATTGATGGGTGCCGCAAACCACCATGGCACCTATATAACAAACCATGTATACCTATGTAACAAACCTGCACGTTCTGCACATGTATCCCAGAACTTAAAATATAAAAATAAAAAAAGTAACTTGTTAATGCTGTTCAAAGCACAGTTTCTCCCTCAGGTAAAACTTACAAGTCCTTGATATGCCTTTTATCAACACATCTACTTAGTGTCCAGTATCATGTCTAGCACTATGTAGATGACCAATGAATGTTTGATGAATTAATATACTAACAAATTGATGACTGTTACATCATCAAAAGATAAATTTGGTGAATTTTACCTTTTACTTGTCTGTGACAATCTGATATAAAAACTTTTATTCAGACTGACCGCTGATCATGTCAGAGGCAACTGTCTCTTGCTCTAGCTTGGAGGGAGAACAGACAGATTCCACCTCCACTTCTGTCTTCCACATATAGCTATCACATCTTGGCTGGGGGCTACACTGCTGATGCTGTCCACAATGCTCTATGTCCTTAGACACAGTAGGGTGGCCCACACAGGTCTAGCCCAATATGCACAATCCTGATATGTCAGGGAAGCTAAAACTCCAGGAGCTAAAACTTGACCATTGTGGTATAGGAGTTAATGGGCAAGTAGACAAATTCTTCTCCATTTTTGCTCCTTATAAACACTTGTGAGACACAGTTTATATGGTTTCTCAGGGGCGTGGTCTCACATATCAGACCATCAATCACCTGCATGGTAGAAGACAACTTGATAATATATCTTCATGGACTGTCTCTCATTTCTTGATTTGATTTTCTTATTTTTTATCCTTCATTCATGGAACTGTATTATCGCATAAAACAATATACACAAGCTCCATGTCAATGGCTCTGGCTTCTGGAGAACCCAAGCTAAGTGCACCCTTATCAAACTAACCCAAAATTTCCTGTGCCCCTTATTATTTCTAGGTTTTCACATTATAATAGAAATCTATTATACTTCAAATATCCCCTTCATTAAAGCAAAGTTACCATTAAGTAATGCATTTGTACAACATAACTTTTATAGGTTCTTCAACTAAGTCACAGAAACTCTAAGATAAAAAGACATGTCTCAATTTTTAAAGTTCCTAGATCAAGAAGAAGAAACATGCAATAATGCAAATACGATGCCTTACAGAACAATACACAGTAAGATAGAGTGAATGGGATTCCCAAAATCCCCAGCTATTTAAAATAACTAAGATTAAATTTAAATGGAATAACATGTATCTCATATATATGTATCAGATTAATGTTTTTGGTCTCTCTACTCTCTGACTCAGTGTCTATTTCTGTAATGGTTCTGCCCGCAGGATAGTGAGAAAAGAAAATGAGCATGTGTGCCTCATTCTCTCTTTGAACTATCTGCTGTCAGACAGAGTATTTATGTTATAAACATTAGAAGGACAAAAAAATTTTGTAGGTGAGATAGAACATGGTTTGCACTGAGGCTTGTGAATGGTGTGTAGTCTGCAATAATGGGTGTTTTAGTCTGTTTCCTGTTGCTGTAATGGAATACCTCGGACTGGGTAATTGACAAAGAATAGATGTTTATTTAGCTTACAATATTGGAGGCTAGAAAGTCCAATCAGGTGGTTGCATCTAGTAAGACCCTCGTGCTGCTTCATAACATGGAGGAAAAGTGAAAGGAAACAAGAGAAAACTGAGGAAGCCAAAGTGGATTTTATAAGAACAAAATCTCATAACTGGCCTCTCTCAGTCATCTCTTTAATGCCCCATCTCTTAATACTGTTATATTGGCAATTAAATTTTCAACACATAAAGTTTTGGGGAACACATTCAAAGCATAGCATTCCACCCCAGTCTCTAAAATTTACATCATTTCACAGTACAAAATGTATATATTCTATCCTAATAGTCCCAAATTCATAATTCTTTCCAGCACCAACTTAAAAGTGCAAAATCTAGAGTCTCTTCTGAGACTCAAAGCACAATTCATCCTTAGTCCAATTTGCCTCTTTCTAAGAGCCTGTAAATTTTTTTTTAAGTTATGTTTTGTCATGTTATGTTCAAAAATATAATGGTGATACTGGCAGAGGGCAGATATTCCCATTCAAAATGGAAAAAGTAGGTAAGAAGAAAGAAGAAACATGTCCAAAGTAAGTCCAAAACTCAACAGGAAAAAAAAATAAGTCTTAAAGCTAGAGAATAATATTTCACCCCATGTGTCCCTTCCTGGACATACTTGGGAGAAAGTTGGTCCCTCGAGGCCTCGGGCAATCTGGGTCTCATGGCTTTTCTGGTTGCACCCCACATGACTGCTCTCCTGGGGAGAAATCAGTTGCCTGAGGCTTTGTTGCATGCTGGCATTGCACACTGGTAGCTCTACAGTTCTTGCTTTCTAGCAGCAGTTCTGCTTGTGTGGCTCCAGTGTGCACTGCCCTGGTGGAGATTCTATACAGTAGCTCCAACCCCATATATCTGCTCTGCATTGCCCTGGTGGTAACTCTCTGTTATGACTTTACCCCGTTACAAGTTTCTGCCTGGGTCTGAGAGCTGTTTGATACATCCTTTGAAATCTAGTTGGATTTTGCATCCTGTACACTTTGAATGCCTTCAGAATTAGCACCTCATGGACAACACAAAGGCTTACTATTTGTGGCCTCTGGATTAGTGGAATGAGCCATATCTAGGTTTGCTTCAGCTTTGATGTAGTGATACCAAGGTTTCCAGCTTTAGTGTGTTGGGACAGTGAATCAAGCTGTACCTGGGGCCTCTGGAGCCATAGCTATAGTATTGAAGGAATGCTGCTTCAGGATGCAGGAAGCAGGGACTCAAGGCAGCTCAGGGCAGTGAACTCTTTCTGCTCTCAAACCTTAACATTCTCAGCTTGTGATGTAAAGGGCAACCTCCAAGATTTCTGAAAAGCTTTCTGGGTCTTTCCTCCTGGTTATTAGTACTGATGATAAGCACTTGGCTCCCTTCCAGCCATATTAATCTCTTTAGTAACTGGGCCACATCTTGAGCTCTGTGTTCTGAATATGCCTTTTCACTCTTCACGTGGCCAGGCTAAAAATTTTCCAAATCTCTCTACTTTGTTTCCCTTTTAGTTATAAGTTCTGTCATCTCTTTGCTCTCCCAAATGATTAGACGGAGCCAAAGGCTGCCATGCAGCTTCTTGAACACTTTGCTGCTTAGATATTTCTTCCACTAAAAATCCTAGTTCAGCACTCTTAAATTCTTCCTTCCACAAAGTCCTTAGAAATGGACAGAACTTTGCCAGATTTTATAACAAGGATGGTATTTCTTTCAGCTTCCAACAAGATATTTCCCATTTCTATCTGAGACCTCAACAGGATAGTCTTTACTGTTTATATTTCCATCAAAATTTTGATCACAACCACTTAAGCAATTTCTAAAGAGGTTTAGACTTTCCCTTGTCCTCTTGTCTTTTTCTGAGCCCTCAGAAGAAACATCCTTTATGCTCCCCTTATGAAATTCTAGGCTTTTTACAGCCTGCCCCTCAAAATTCTTCCAGCCTCCACCAATTGCTCAGTTCTAAAGTAACTCCCATATTTTCAGGTATTGTTTTGGCACCAACACCACTTCTTGGGACCAACTTTTTGTCTTAGTCTATTTTCTGTTGGAGTAACAAAATACCTGAGACTGGGTCTTTCATAAAGAATAGAGGTTTATTTAGTCCAGTTAGAGGCTGGGAAGTCCAAGATTTGGTGTCTGCATCTGGTGAGAGCTCTGTGCCGCTTCATAACATGGCAGAAAAATGGAAGGGATCACATGACAAGAGAAGGAGTAAGAGAAATCTCAGGAAGCCACACTCACTTTTACAACAAACTGCACTTGTGATAACTAACCCCTCCCCAGGAGAACTAATTTATTCTTGTGAGGACTAACTCAGCCCCCAGATGAAAGCATTAATTCATTCATGAGAGCTCTGCCCCCATGACCCAGTCACCCTGTAAGCCCCACCACTTGATACTGTTACATTGGCAATTGAGTTTTCACCACATGGACTTTTAGGGGATACAGTCAAATCCTAGCAATGGGCTTGTAACTACACTTTCCGCCATGTAACTTCCTAGTTCTTTTCACCAGTGAGGCAAAGTGTAATTGTGAGTCCCTTGATTCTGAGTTCAGCCAAGTTATGTGCTTGACAAAAGGGATGTCAGCAGACGTGATCCATGTATAGGATTAAAAAAGCATGTGGTTCCACGCTCATTCTTGTTCTCTAACACTGTTATGATCACCGTATTAGCTCGTATGTGACAAATGAAACACAGGTGTCCCAGTATCCCCTGGTATCCCAGTTGACAGTCTACTAAAATCCAGAAAGATTAGTGAGCCAGATTAAAACCTGAAGAGCTACTCATTCTAAATGGTGAAACACAGCCAGATGAGATAAATAAATGCTCATTGGTTGGCATCATTAATTTTTGCACAGATTTGTTATGTACCATAATTGTGGCAGTAGATAACTGATGCAGAAATGGGTTCCAAAAAAGGAGTGCTACCATACAAAAACATAAAATATGTGGCTTTGGCTTTGAGGTGGATGACAGTAGAAAAGAAATGTTAGTAGAGACTGAAAAAATACTGAGAAAACTATTAAAACAGCCTTGAAAAAATGAAAAGGAAACTTCTAAAGAAGTCTGAAAAAAAAAGCCAACTGTGCTATATCTTTGTAATCATCTATTAAGAATGTTGACCCAGGTAACTCGAGTTTTTTTTTTTAAAGATTGTTTGGATTTGGGAAGATTTATTTAAGCATAAGGTCTCTGTCACCACTACTTAGCTCTACTGTCGTAGCTAAACTAGTTGTCACTAACATATAAATGAATGAGCATGGCTATGTTCCAATAAAACTTAGTTTAATGATCTGTGGATTGTACTTTGCCAAATTCTGATTTATCTCAAATTATAGAACTTAAGAATAAAAGCACATTGTCAAATAATAGCATTCTGTTACTTTTGGAATGAAGCACTCATATAACATCAATTAAGATAAACATGGAATACAGAGTAAATTTACATTTGAATATTTGTGGGATTCCTTTGTCAGTTATTAAGTGGATGGCACATCTATATTTACAAATTAGGACCCATGATATAACGGCTATAAAGATTTTATGTAGAAATACTCTTGTTCCATGTTGCTCTAACATATTAAATACAGAGAAAATTACAGTCTCCCTAAATGCATTCTTATCCGTATTTTTCCCGCAACATTTTATTTTGGAGATTTCTGTCTCCCTAAATGCAATGTATACACCCAAAACTATCTATATACCATAAAACTAAATTATGGGAATTGATATTTCAAAATATACATTGTTGTACATACTGAGAGAGAAAAATTGTTCACCTTAAGAAATAAATATGTGCATAAGAAATAAATAAATCTCCAAATTATTTTGGAGATTTCTGTCTCCCTAACTGGAATGTGTCTCCCCAAAATATCTATATACCATAAAACTAAACTATGGGAATTGATATTTCAAAGTATACATTGTTGTACATATTGAGACAGAAAAAATTGTTCACCTGAAGAAATAAACATGTATGTAAGAGAAAACTACCTAGTTTTAGGGTTACTACAAATTCAAATTTTTCCAATCACAATCTATTCTGTTTCAAGTAGGAAAGCAAGACATCTGCCAGATGTGATGCTCATTGAAATACAATATGTCTTAAAAAGGCCCAAGTTGAACATATTTCATGCCTCTACTTAACACTTTGAACATATATAGTTGTTATAATAATTATTTTAATATATGTATCTGCCAATTCTGTTTTAGCACTGGGTATTATATATGTAATTGCCACACTAAAAAAAAAAAGAAATACAATATGTCATTAATATTGTAATTAGAGGAAACTTCATATAGATACCAGATGTATATTGGTGCCTGAATTGTTTTTTGGTATAAACATAAATTGAATCTTTTTCTAGGTTTTAGTAAAAGTTGGAAAATAAAATTAAAAATGGAGTATGAATAAGATGCTATTGTAGACTAAACTTTTTAATATATTTTGGTTATTAGAATATTTTGTTTTATAAAAATTTGTTTTATATATATTTTATCCATATATTTTAAGCAACAAAATCATTCTACTCTTTCTTCTGTCAAAAGTAAGAGAAATTAAAGATTTCTTAGTAGCTATCAACCAATTATTATAACCACCTGGATTAGAAATAGAGTTAGATATCCAGAGACACATATATTGTATGATCAGCTGACAATTTATCCCTTACTTAGCATCCTATTTATATTGACTAATTTAATATTTAATCATATAATTTAATATTACTTGAGGATCTGCTATGTATTATACAATCTGCTATTGACAAGACAGATTTCTTGAACTCACACAGATTACAATCTACCAGGAAGGACAGATTTTAAACAAATAAATTTGAATGTACATGGCATAAAGGAAAATACCATGTATAATAAAAACATTAGAACAGTCACCAAATTTTTTATGGCCAAGAAAAGAAAGCTCTTCTAAGTATATTACTTTGCTGCCTAGATCTGAGGCATGAGCAGGAATTAGACACTACAAGGGTTGTGTGAACAGAATTTTAAGCAGAGGGAATAATACAATGTAAGGGAACTATGAGAAATAAAAGTTGGTATACTTCAGGTTAAAAGGTCAATGGGGCCAAAGCATGATAATACAGAAAAATAATGTTAGAAAGTAAGGTTGGAAAGTTATATTAAAGTGAATTATTGAGGCTTTGTGATTTTTTAAGAGTTTTAGCTTTCAACCAAGAAAAGATGGACATTCATCAAAGGGTTTTAAAAAGTAAAGAAGTATAATTATCTCCTTATTTAAAAACTGTTAGATATTTTTGTATGAAAGTATCAAAAGTGAATATTAAGAGATTGCTATTGCCCAGAAGCAAAAGAGTGGTAGTACATGTCCTATTAATGCCGATGCAAGTGAGAGAATTATGGATATTTGAGAATTATGTTAAGTGTTACAATTAACTGGAATTTCTGGTTTTATTGAAACAGTGAATGATGAGAAAGAGGACATGGACTAGGACAATTTCCAGATTGTTGATATGAGCCACAGCCTATTGCCATTTACTGAAAAAGAAGGCCATAAATTCCATGATACCAAAACAAGACTTATTCACTTTCTTTTAGGTATAAAATGAAGTATTCTCACTATCTGGATCTTCTGTTTATACTGTGATATAATAATGTCATAATATAATATATTATGTAATAATACATTTGCAATTTGGCTTTTGAGCCAGTTTCCCAGCAGAAAGCTCCTAAGCCCTTCTAATATCCTGAGTGATAGGGATGATATAAGTATCTTTCGCTATAATATTTGATCTTAGTTTCCAGGTCCTGACATAGCAGTTTCTAAGGCTCTTGGAATTTCCAGAGTAATGAGAGTATCTTTTGCATGCTATTAAGATGACTGGTGGCTCGGTGTTCCTCTGTAGCTTTAGAATGGGGGCTTTTCACCAGAGAGATCAAGACATGGCTAGAGGTTTGGAACTTGTGGCCCCAGCCCTAGGCCACTGGAGAGGGGAGAGTGGCTAGACATTGAGTCAATCACCAGTGGCCAATGCTTTTATCAATAATGCCTACATAATGGAGCCTTGATAAAACTCTGAACAATGAGGTTTGAGGAGCTTCTGGGTTGGTGAACCCTATCGTCAAAGCTCTTGTGCTCAGGACCTTTTTGGACCTCGCTCTGTGTACCTTTTCATCTGTTGTTCATTTGCATATTTTTGTTGTATCCTTTAAAATAAAGTGGTAACAGTAAGTAAATTGTTTTTCCTGAGTTCTGTGAGTTTCCAAATCATTAAACATGAAGAGGGGTTGTGAGGATCTCTGATTTATACCAGTCAGTTGGAAATACAGAAGGTTTGGGAATGAGCCCTTCATCAGGGCGGTCTCGTGCTACCTCCAGGTAGTTAGTGTCAGAACAGAATTTAATTGTTAGACTTCTACTTGGTGTCTGGAGAGTTGGCGAATTGGTCACTGATGTGAAGAAACCTCCACACATCAGGCATCAGAAGTATTCTGTGGGTAGAAACATCATAGTACCTACACATACTGAACCCACATGTAACAGAGAATGCACTACTCTTTCTTTGGGTCTGAAGCAGTGTGCCATTGTTGTAATCCACCAAATATATCAGCTTCACAAAGAATGGTGTTCTCAGTTGTGGATGGGCCCTCTGAGTCATAACAGTGGCAGATGATGACACAAGCATTCCTCTCTGGCTTTTCCCTTCTTTGGCTACATTCGAACAGTGCAATCTCAAAAGCAGATTGTTTTACTTTTTTTATTTATCAAGACAGAGTGTAGAGATCATGAATGACAATGCTCTAGGTCACTACATACGTGGGATAGAAGAAAATCATCCATCACTTTACAAATGCAGATTTATCTTTTTATGTCATAAATAGACTGTTAAAGAAAGTATTTTATAAATAGAAATGAAATTCTCAGTGATTCATACTAATGAATAAAGGGCTCAGGAAATTCTGCAATAGTGTTTACCATTAATTCTAAAGAAATGCTTTTCAAGTCATTAACAGTAATTCTTCACAGATGCAAAATAAAATGACTAAATTGTTATATTTAGTAAGAAAAATGCCAATTTTAGATGTTAAAATATCTTAAGAGAGAATATTTCTTTATAAGATTTATGATTTATACTAAATCTTATAAAATACTGTTTATACGAAAACAGTAACTTATTTCATTGCAATTCTATGTTATTTGTTTAATGCCTTCTGGAATGATTATAAAAATCATTTACTGAGACCTTATTAGGTACTGGTTAAGCATTTTACATGTATTAACTTCAATAACACCCATAAATTATGAAGTTGGCATGATCTGCATCACCACTTTACATATGGGAAGCTGACATACTGAGAGTGAGTCTAATTTGTCAAAGGACACCGAGCCAGTAATTTGAGAAGCTTGAATCAGAGCCCAGGCAACCTGAGATAAGCTCCCTATTTACCCATTAAGCTGTGCACAACAGGGAACTCAGACCTCATATTCATGATCAGAATAAATCCAAATTTTTTAAATATGAAAATTAATTACACCTGTTCCTCCTCACCAATACAATAGGAATCTGGCATACTATAAATATTATCTTTAGAAGGTGCTTCAGAATGCATCATCATTGTATTGGTTGTGAATTTATGCACTTTGCCTCATTGTCTGTCGATGCGTTCCCATTGTTTTTAACAAATCATTCTCCATTTTGTATGGTTCCTTTTAATGATGCTTTTCTAGACTTTGTGTTGCTGCTCCCCAATACCACCCTCAGTTTCAATTATTTTCTAAGAGAACTCACAGAATTCAGCAAAACTGCTATACTCATGATTATGGCTTATTAGAGCAGAAGAATACAAATTCAACTCAGCAAAGGAACAAGGTACAGAGAACAGAATCCAGGAGAGACAAGACACAAGCTTCCAGTTTTTCTCTCTCAGTGGAGTTGCAGGGACAGCACTTAATTCTCCAAGCAATAATGTGTAATAATATGTATGAAGTATTGCCAACCAGGGAAGCTCAGCAGAGTTGGTATCCTGTAGTTCTATTGAGGGTCAGTCACACAGGCATGGAGCAACCCTGTGGTTGACTTTAGTTATGCAAACTTCAGCCCCTCCAGATATAGATACATCAAGCTGATACAGCCTGGCTCAAGGTCCTCACCATAAATCTCATATTTTGCTTAAATGGTCTGGTGTGGCCTAAGGCCCCAGGTGTACAAAACACTTTTATTTGATATTCCAAGGTCTTAAAGGTTATCTCCCAGGAGCCTGCCAACAATCAGTTATTTGGAATGTATAGTGTTTGAACACCTAAAACATGCTGAGTTTATCCTTTCCTGCACAGAATATCTGCTTCATTCTTTTCTACTTGCTTGGCTCTCTGGATACCCACAGCATTTCATGCCTCCTCTGATTCTTTTAAATAATAATTGCAAGAAGACTTCCCCTCTACTGTTGCTTCAGTTCTTATTCAGAGAACCTCAAGAGCTGTATAACTGTATAATTATCACTTTTTTAGAATAGTATGGCTGTGAAATCAAGAAAAAAGTGTCACTTTGCAAAAATAACGAAAAACTATAAACAAATATGCCATTATAATTTGAATCACATTTGTAAAACTTCTAGATATTCATGCTAACTCCACCACATCTTTTTGTAAATACACGACTTATTGCCTTTAATTTGTCTTGTACTTTCAAAAACTGGAAAAACATTGCTCACATAATTTTTTTTATTTTTTAAGTTGAAGTATTTATAGTGATGTTATTTGCTTTTATATTGTGATAAAATATATGAAATATCAAATTTACCATTTTAACTATTTTTAAAATACAATTCAGTGGCAAAAACATTTTTGTTTTCCAAGCACATGGTACAGACTAGTCTACTTTCTGTCTTTATAAATTTTACTCTAGGTACATTATACAAGTGGAATTATGCAATTCCAATTATTGGGAAAAAATTCCCAATTTTTATCTTGTGTCAGTACTATTTAACTTAATATTATGTTCTCAAGGTGTATCCATGCTGTAGCTTGTATCAGAATTTAACAGTGAATAACATTCAAATATGTATGTATATATATATATATATATATATGGATAAATGGATATATAGATGAAAGGATAAACAAAATGTACTATACATATTTTTTTCTTTGTTTTGTTTATATATATATTTTTTTTTCTTTGTTTTGTTTATCCATTCATCTGTTGATGGACAGACATTTGGGTTGCTTCCACATTTTTGCTCTTATGAATAAAGTTGCTATAGACATTGGTGTTTAGAGATCTGTTCAAGTTTCTGCTTTGAATTCTTCGGAGTGTACTTGTAAGAATGGAATTGCTTGGTCACATGGTAATGAAGTTTAGTTTTTTGAGAAACCACGACAACATTTTCTAGAGTGGCTGCACTATTTTACATTCCAACCATTAATGCACAAGTGTTTCAATTTCTCTGCCTCCTGACCAATACTTGTTATTTTCTATTTTCATGATAAGAGCTTTCCTAATGGCTGTAAAGTGATACCTCCCTGTGAGTTTGATTTGCATTTCCCAATAAGCGATTTTGAGCATATTCTCATATGTCTACTTGCTTTTAGTGTATCCTCTGTGGAGACATGTCTATGCAAATTATTTGCCCAATTTTTAATTGAGTTGTATTTTTTTGTTGAGGTGTCAATGTTCTTTACATATTCTGGCTACTAATCCCTTACCAGATATGTGATTTGGAAATATCTTCTTCCATTCCATGGGTTGCCTTCTCACGTTCTTGATAGTGTTCTTTAATGCTCAACATTTATAAATTTTGATGAAGTCCAATTGCTATGGTTTGAATATGTTCCCCCAAGAGCAGGGGTTGGTAACTTAATCCTCAATGCAACAGGGTTTGAAGGTTGGGCCTAATGAGAGGTGTTTAGGTGATGAGGGCTTCACTCTCATAAATGGATTAATGCCAGTTATAAAAGAGGTTAAGGCTTCAAGTTTGATCTCTTGCTCTTTCTTGCCCTTTCTTTGTCCTTCCACCATGGGACTGTGTCCAGAGTTGGCTCCTTCCAGTGGGTCATGGTCTCACTGACCTCAAGAATGAAGCCACGGACCTTCCCAGTGAGTGTTAACAGCTCTTAAAGGTGGCATGCACCCAAAGAGTGAGCAGCAGCAGGATTTATTGTGAAGAGCGAAATAACAAAGCTTCCACAGCGTGGAAGGGGACCCGAGCACGTTGCCACTGCTGGCTGGTGTGGCCGGTTTTTATTCCCTTATTTGTCCCCCTCCCATGTTCCGTTTTTGTCCTATCAGAGTGCCCCTTTTTCAATACTCCCTGTGATTGGCTACTTTCAGGATCCTGCTGATTGGTGCATTTTACAGAGCGCTGATTCGAGCATTTTACAGAGTGCTGATCTGTGCATTTTACAATCCTCTTGCTAGCTACAGAGCGCTGATTGCTGAGTTTTTACAGAGCACTGATTCGTGCATTTTACAATCCTCTTACTAGACAGAAAATTCTCCAAGTCCCCACTGGACCCAGGAGGTCCACCTGGCTTCACCTCTCAGGATGACACAGCAATATGGTCCTCAAAAGATGCCAGCCCCTTGGTTTTGGGACTTCCCAGTCTTTAGAATCATGAATCAATAAATTTCTGTTTCTTATAAGTTACCCAGTATCAGGTATTATGTTACAGCAGCACCGAATGAACTAAGACATCTATTTTTTTCTTGTTTGCCTGTGCCCTTTGTGTCAAATAAATTATTGCCATCTCTATTGTCATGAAGCTTTTCTCTGTTTTCTTCTAAGAGTAGAAAATGCAGAATCTGAGTAGCTTTGGACTTCTAAAAATTAATATAGAATATAAATTAAGTCTTTTCAACATTTTAGGGATAAGTGATTAGCAACTATAAATATATATGAAAACACATTTGTAAGTATGAGAAAGAGTAAAATACATATTTATATAGTATAAAAAGTATATAGAGAGTTTATTAGGTGTACTCACATAATTATATTTGTAGAATATGATGTGTCCTTATATACAACCCCTTTCAAAGCCTACGGTAAGATATGTTTCATTAAGTGAGAATGGAAAAAAAAAGAAGGTAGAAGACATGGTATTCAGGAAACATGGAAAATAGTGAAGGGAATTCATAGGATGGTGGTGGGGGAACTCCCAGGATGAAAGCAAAGCAAGTAGCCATATAAATTTAGAGTGGTAAGGTTAGTGCTTTCAGAAAGTTATCTACAAACATATTAAGGGAACTGATCAAAGAGCTGATGAGATTAAAGACAGTGCAAGAGTGAGCACAATTTTGTCAGAGAGTTTGGGAGACATTGATAATAATTTTGGTAGCCATTTATAACTCAGGAGAAACAACACAAACTCTAGCCCAGGCTGGAGTAGAGTGTGAGAGTTCGTAACACACTGCAGCCCTGAACTCTTGTGTTCAAGTGCTCTTCCTGCCTCAGCCTCCCTAGTAGTTGGGACCACATTTGCAGCACCACACCTGGCTACATTTTTTAACATTTTTTGGAGACAGAATCTTGCTATGTTGCCCAGGATAGAAAATGTTTTTCTTTAAGCCTTAAAGAAGTATGTGAGATTTTAAAACCTGTGAATACTTTGCTTTTAATTTGACGTGAATAGTCCATCATACTTTTCTGACTTGCAACATCTGAAAAAGTTTTTTTTTACTTGTTTTAGTGGGTTTGCCCCCAAACAGCCCTGATCTTGCTAGTTATTATTTAAATATGCCTTTTAACACTAAATTAAAACCAATGGTGGTAGTAGACTTGAGTTTTACTTATATCGAATTATGTAATACTATTTCAGCATATGTGTCTATAACTACTGAATTTAGGTGATTTATATACTTTTGTGTATTATAGTTTTAAATATTCATCTTGAACCATATTCTAACATTTAAAAAGAATATTCAAATTTTCAAAATCCAAAATTTGTTCATATTGCCTCATTTAATATTATTTTAATACTTACTTATTATTAGGTTATCCCTTCTTCAATTTTTAGAAGAAAAGAAAATCCTAAAATATTGGTGGTGGGTATAACCCAGAAGAAAGATACCAAATTTCCCAGAGAGATATTACTTAATGACATCACTTTTTACTTTGTAATAAATTATTTTTCAAATCAATTCTAAATCTTCTATATAAGCAGATTCTGTGGTATTTAATTCTTTTCCTGATGTCAGGATTTGAAACAAAGTAAACAGTAAGGAAAAGTCAGTTTAAAAAAAATTGGTTAACTTTTTGGTACCTAATGACTATCGAGTTATTTGTAATATTAGTTGTACAAACATGTTAAAACAATCATCCAATGATCCAAGGATTTGTTAGTATGCCTGGATTAATACATGCAATTGAAGACTGAAACATTTGTATTTGCTTAATTTTACAAATTAGAAAATATTATGGAAATGTTGTTGGAAACAGAAACATTCTTGACATTCCTATTTAGAAATTAAGATTTCTCACCTTGATTACTTTGACTCAGAAATAGAAGATGATTAATAAATTTGTTTCAACCTCAAAATCTTCAAAGTAGCAACTATTTCTATGTTCTTGAATTGATCACAGAAAATTTAGTTTATGTTTTTACTAATTTTTTTCAGTAAGATAGATTATTGGATTTATAAGTCATAGTCATCAGGAAACTTTCATTTCTAAGAGTAAATTTGTAAAAGAAACATAATCTCTATTTCTGCTATAACAATATGCAAGAATGTGAAGTGTAAGTCTCCTCTTCTACTATCTGCAGTTTGGCAGGAACAAAATAGAGATACTGAGTATTGGTCAGCAGGGTGTGTTTGCCATTGTGCATATTCAACAGCTAAGAAAGTCATTTTTAGGCCTAACTGAATGCTGTAGATTTCCTATAAGAAAAATACTTTGGATAGGATCCCAAATAACCAAGTCGTGGAATAGGGAAATTTACAAAATAATATGTATGACCAGTAACATACATCTTAAGGGAAAAGAAAACTGGAAATAAAAAGAGCTTAATGTACTTAAGAGACTTGAAAGGGATGAATGTTACTACTGCTATTTCTATTTTCTTAAAGTAACAATGGTCTATTCAAGCTTTAATGGGTGGTTTGAGAAGTGAAGTACGTTCACTTGTGAAGGGAAGTCCTTCTTCGCTTAATTTTTCTTGTTAGCTCAAAGACTCACTGCAAGATTTCATTTCATAACCCTGAGTAGCTCAATCTCTGAAAATGTTGGTCATTTCTAACACATTCTGTTTCTTAAATGAGTATGAGAGGATTGGAAACAGTGAGAATTTTGATTATAAAATTATTTATCTAGTGCATAAGACTGTGTTGTAAAAATTCTGGCATTTAGAGTGATTCAATGTGAGAATATTTGGATCACATATAGGCAAACATTTGCTTTAGTTTAGTTTTACTAAAGATCATTAATACTGTCAGGAATATCAAATAGTAAGGGCAAACCAAGGACAGAAATAAAATCTCCAGGCTGATGATCATAAAGTTATGGTGCTACCCTTTCCAAAATAAATTGCAACACCTGTGTGTATCAATGGGCAAGAGAAATCAATACATGTTAGCATTCTCAGTGGGAAACAAGGTTTTGCTACTATTTATCTGTGAACACATATTGCATAATCATCAGTCATGGGACTGCTTCCTAATATATGTATGCTGGAGGTCTGGCTCTGTATCTGCATTTTCGAATTAGTCCCAGTGTGACAGAAAATCCCTGTAATTTGGGGGTAAGAAGCAAACAAACGCAGGTAGGGTAAACATTACTGGAATAAAAATATATCTCTTCCCCCAATGCTGAAAAAAATTAACATGCAACATTTAAAGTACCCTGTACACTTGCCTATTGTGGTTATTTTTCTTTTTAACATCTATTGGGCGGTGTGGATGAGCAACAGTACCTGCAACTGTAGAGATATTCAAATCCTCACAGCTGTCAGTAAAGCCTACACTAATGTGTCCTGAAAGAGTGATTAATAGGTTTTGACAATATCATTGCATTGCATATTTAATCAGATTATACATCTGTTAGAAATGGTTTGCTTCTAACATCTGCAGTCAAAATTCACAATCGGTATTCAGATCATTTCCTCAGCAGACACATGAAACGACTATGTCAGTGTTCCTGGTGACAAGTTAAAACTGCATGCCAGAAAAAGATGAATCACGACATTTTCTTCATTTGTTTAGTTTTTTCCCAACATTTCCTAGAAGTTTATCTGTGCTTAAATTAATGCTCATTAACAAGAAGGAAGACAAATATATACATATAAGTTATTACATATACATACACACACACATGCACACACACACACATATGTACATATATATAATTGTAAACTATAATCTCAAGCAAGACACACACAGAGGCTTGATGCCATCCTAAAGGTGATACTACTTAGTTATAATTTCAAAACATATTTCAGGTGATAATGCTAGTCTAAGAAGACAGGTATTATGAGACAGATTTTCACATTATAAAGTTCAATATGACAACTTGTATTTTATTGTGATTGTTATATAAAATATGGAAGAAAGTTATTCAATTACCACAGTAAGATTTAGACTTAAATCCTATTTTCCTCTCAGTATTTATTCATTTCCTATATGTAGTTGGAAAATATCCCATTTACAAAAGACACCATCTCAACGCTAGTCATTTTATCTTAGTTCCAAAAGACACCTTGACATAAACAAGTGTCTTCCTCTATCTTCCACAACCTTGTCTCCAGCATTCCAACAGGTGAGCCACAAATCCTTCCTATATGCTATTATAAACATCCACTCTTCAAAATCTGCAATCTTCTTAGAAATGACCAGTGTAATAAAACTTCCCTTGACAAAGTTATCAATGGCAACTACTTAAAAACTCAAAAGATCACTTTCTAGACCTTATCTTACTTGATCTCACTTGTACAGTTTGGCAATGCTACCTCCATTCTCAACACTCTGTTCACGTTTTTTCTCTCTGTGATCTATGCATGCCTTGTTTTCTTTCAAGCTCTGGACATTTCTTCTTAGTTTGGAGACATTCTCTTCCTCTGACTTTCTTAATTATGACATTCTAAGTGCTTTCATTAATCGTCTTTTCAGTTATGAATGAGGCTGTTCAAATTTAAAATTTTTCATTCCCTTTCTCTTTTCTCTGTCTTTGAATCTGATTGCATATATGCTAGAATTTATATCCTAAGGCCATTGAAGCTCTTTTCATTGATTTTATTCTCTTTTTTTCTGTATCTTTCATATTAGATAGTCTCTATTGTCATATTTTCAAATTTTGTGATCCTTTCTTCTCCAATGACTAATCAACTGTTAATTCCATCAAGTGAAAATTTCAAATCCTGTATTTTATTCTTTATGTGTAGAAGTTCTATTTCTCTTTTTAAAATGCATCTCCCATTTTTGTCTTTTCAATATTCATGCATTTCTTTATATTGCATGCATTTCTTATACTTCTATAATGTATAGAATAGCCCCCTTTAAAGTCCATGTTGATATTCTACCACCTGTATAATTCCCTGTTTTTTAAATCAATTTTTTCCTTTGATTTATGGGTTACATTTTTTCTAGTTCTCTGTATGTGTGGTAAACTTTAATTAGATACCAGGCATTCACAATTTACTCTCTTGAGGGATGGATATTATACTACTATAAAAGGTGTTGGATTTTGTATTTTGTACCAGTTACATTACTTGTGGCTGAACTAGATTCATTTGAGACATTCTTTTAAGTTTTGAAAGGATAGTCTCAGAGTATCATTTTCTATAGTTCTGGCTAGCTCCACTCTTAAGGCACAACACCTTGAGATCTGCATTGAAAGCTCAACTGTTCTACAAGATCTTTTCTCTTTAGCGGGTTTCCACCTGGAAACCATTTCTGTGAATAGTGTAGTGTAGATGAAATGGGGTCATGATTATTTCTATATTCTTTTTTTATTATTAGACTTTAAGTTCTAAGGTACATGTGCACAACGTGCAGGTTTGTTACATATGTATACATGTGCCATGTTGGTGTGCTGCACCCATTAACTCGTCATTTACACTAGGTATATCTCCTAATGCTATCCCTCCTGCTTCCCCTCATCCCATGACAGGCCCCAGTGTGAGATGTCCCCCTTCCTGTGTCCAAGTGTTCTCATTGTTCAATTCCCATCTATGAGTGAGAAAATGCGGTGTTTTGTTTTTTGTCCTTGCAATAGTTTGCTGAGAATGATGGTTTCCAGCTTCATCCATGTCCCTACAAAGATCATGAACTCATCCTTTTTTACAGATACATAGTATTCCATGACGTATATGTGCCACATCTTCTTAATCCAGTCTATCATTGATGGACATTTGGGTTGGTTCCAAGTCTTTGCTATTGTGAATAGTAATGCAATAAACATATGTGTGCATGTGTCTTTATAGCAGCATGATTTATAATCCTTTGGGTATATACCCAGTAATGGGATGGCTGGGTCAAATGGTATTTCTAGTTCTAGATCCCTGAGGAATTGCCACACTGACTTCCACAATGGTTGAACTAGTTTACACTCCCAACAACAGTGTAAAAGTGCTTCTATTTCTCCACATCCTCTCCAGCACCTGTTGTTTCCTGATCACCATTCTAACTGGCGTGAAATGTTATCTCATTGTGGTTTTGATTTGCATTTCTCTGATGGCCAGTGATGATGAGCATTTTATCATGTGTCTGTTGGCTGCATAAAAGTCTTCTTTTGAGAAGTGTCTGTTCATATCCTTCACCCACTTTTTGATGGGGTTGTTTGTTTTTTTTCTTGTAAATTTGTTTGAGTTCTTTGTAGATTCTAGATATTAGCCCTTTGTCAGATGAGTAGATTGCAAAAATTTTCTCCCATTCAGTAGGTTGTCTGTTCATTCTGATGGTAGTGTAGATGTCTGCACTTTTCACTCTGATGGTAGTGCAGAAGTCTGTTCACTTTTGCTGTGCAGAAGCTCTTTGGTTTAATTAGATCCCATTTGTCAATTTTGGCTTTTGTTGCCATTGCTTTTGGTGTTTTAGACATGAAGTCCTTGCCCATGCTTATGTCCTGAATGGTATTGCCTAGGTTTTCTTCTAGGGTTTTTTATGGTTTTAGGTCTAACATTTAAGTCTTCAATCCATCTTGAATTAATTTTTGTATAAGGTGTAAGGAAAGGATCCAGTTTCAGCTTTCTACATGTGGCTAGCCAGTTTTCCCAGCACCATTTATTAAGGAATCCTTTCCCCATTTCTTGTTTTTGTCAGGTTTGTCAAAGATCAGATGGTTGTAGATGTGTGGTATTATTTCTGAGGGCTCTGTTTTGTTCCATTGGTCTATGTCTCTGTTATGGTACCAGTACCATGCTGTTTTGGCTACTGTAGCCTTGTAGCATAGTTTGAAGTCACAACAAAAAAAGAGAATTTTAGACGAATATCCCTGATGAACATCGATGCAAAAATCCTCAATAAAATACTGGCAAACTGAATCCAACAGCACATCAAAAAGCTTATCCACCATGATCAAGTGGGCTTCATCCCTGGGATGCAAGGCTGGTTCAACATACAAAAATCAATAAACGTAATCCAGCATATAAACACAACCAATGACAAAAACCACATGATTATCTCAATAGTTGCAGAAAAGGCCTTTGACAAAATTCAACAACCCTTCATGCTAAAAACTCTCAATAAATTAGGTATTGATGGGATGTATCTCAAAATAATAAGAGATATCTATGACAAACCCACAGCCAATATCATACTGAATGGGCAAAAACTGGAAGCATTCCATTTGAAAACTGGCACAAGACAGGGATGTCCTCTCTCACCACTCCTATTCAACACAGGGTTGGAAGTTCTGGCCAGGGCAATCAGGCAGGAGAAAGAAATAAAGGGTATTCACTTAAGAAAAGAGGAAATCAAATTGTCCCTCTTTGCAGATGACATGATTGTATATTTAGAAAACCCCATCATCTCAGCCCCAAATCTCCTTAAGCTGATAAGCAACTTCAGCAAAATCTCAGGATACAAAATCAATGTGCAAAAATCACAAGCACTCTTATACACCAATACAAGACAAACAGAGAGCTAAATCATGAGTGAACTCCCATTCACAATTGCTTCAAAGAGAATAAAATACCTAGGAATTTACAAGGGATGTGAAGGACCTCTTCGAGGAGAACAACAAACCACTGCTCAAAAAAATAAAAGAGGACACAAACAAATGGAAGAACATTCCATGCTCATGGATAGGAAGAATCAATATCGTGAAAATGGCCATAATGCCCAAGGTAATTTATAGATTCAATGCTATCCCCATCAAGCTACCAATGACTTTCTTCACAGAATTGGAAAAAAACAGCTTTAAAGTTCATATGGAACCAAAAAAGAGCCCGCATTGCCAAGTCAATTCCAAGGCAAAAGGACAAAGCTGGAGGCATCACGCTACCTGACTTCAAACTATACTACAAGATTATTTCTACATTGTATTACTTGGCACCTTTAATTAAAAGGACCACAGCACTGAAGGGGCACATTTGCCATAAACCACATATTCATAAATGGTCAGACCTGCTTCTGCACATTCTATTATATTCTACTCATTCATTTGTTTGTCTCTCAAAATAGTGAAGGTTTATTCCTGTATCTTGATAACTGATAATATGACACTTCTCATCTTTGTCTTTTATTTTCAACATTATCTGAAAGACTCTGTCTTTCTATATATAGTTTTTAAATTAATTTTTAATTACATATAAACTATTGTTATTGTATTTATATTAAATTTAGGAGAACTTTAAAACTTACTGAATTTTCCAATTCATGCATAAATTTTATTCCTCTGATTTTTTGGGTACAATTTAAGTTCTCCCAATATTTATTTCACAGATACATTCCCAAGTACTTTGCTACTTTGCATTTCTGGGCTTCTCTTAGCAGAACATGAAATAGGCTCTATAAAGCCTACAGGAAAGAGTTTGCACCAATATTTACTAGTTAGTGTATGAGAGGTAGTGCTAAACAGTCCATTGATCTTCAGATTGTTCCCCTAGGTGCTTCCTCTGAAAGGGGAGGGAATAACTTGTGGAGATCTTATTACTAGTCTCCCTTCCTGCTGCAATTATTGCCATCCTGATTTTATTAGAGCAACCATTTACACATCAGCTTCCACATACAAATCTTTTGAAACAAGACTATTTTAAAATTCCTCAGTAACATATAGTTTTTTAGTTTTGCAGTTCAGTTAACCTGAATTTGAATTCTAGTTGTTTTATTTACTATTATTGTGATGCAGAGCCACGCACTTTGCCCTTTTAAACTTTTGTTTGTTCGTATATCAAATGGGTACAATATAAAGTACTGGCAAATTTGATGTATTAAAAATATGAAAGTATATGACATGTGACAGATACTCAGTGAATGGTAGCTGCTATATTTTTATAATGTTATATATAGCAGGTACACTAGAAATCACCAATAGTAATATATTCACTATATAGCTGAAAAACTGAAGCTCATTCATAAACTCATTCAACAAGTATTTATGAGTTACTGGTGCTCATGGAGATAAAAAAGTGACAGGGATTGAAGGAGCTATTATGAAAATAAAACTCAGAGAAGTACTTTAGAAACAGTAAATATATATTTTAGCTGTGACTTCAATGAAATGCTACAGAGGCAAGTAGCTGAAGAAAAGTTGGAAACGGAAGCCTATGTGAAAATTATCTGGGTTAAAAAATGAACTTGATAGATTCAAAAATCAACAAGAAAGCCAGTGGACCAAGAGTGGAGTAAGCTATGCTTTTGGAGAGTGGTATGAAATTAGTTTAGAAACATAAACTGATGGATATAATGACCATAGTCTCAGTTATGTAGGGGGACATCACTGGAGAGTTTTCATCAGGGAAGTGAAAAGATTTGATTTAGAATTTGTGTTGAGCCAAAGACCATTATAAGTTTCTAGATCACCTTTTAAATGTAACGTATAAAATATATCAATAATTTTTTATTGAACAATTATTTTTTGGAAACAGACTGAAATACAATGATATTCAGTGCAATGGAATGATGCTAAACACTTCCTGAAATCGACATTGTTATCAAAGTCCAAAAATCCCATCCTGTTTGTAAAATTAGTATATTCTCCTTTGCTAGTGTCATACTAAAATTTTTCTAATTTTTAATAATTTGTCTGAAAATATAAGGCTAAAATAATTTTAAATTATGTCTTATTTACTCAATAATTTGTGATGTTGATATATATAGGTCTTCCTGTACATATATACTCCTATTTTCTTACTGAGATATCAGTACACTCCATTTATCAATTTAAATTATTTTTGTAACCTCAAACATATTATTATTATTATTATATTTCTTTTGAGACAGGATCTCGCTCTTTCTCTCATTCTGGAATGCAGTGGTGTACCCTCAGCTCACTGCACTTGATCTCCTAGGCTCAAGCGATCCTCCCATCTCAGCCTCCTGAATAGCTGGGATTAAAGGTGCATGCCACCATGCCTGGCTAATTTTTGTATTTTTTGTAGAGATGGAGTTTGGTCATGTTGCCCACACTTGTCTTGAGCTTGTAGACTCAAGCATTCTGCATACTTGGTCTCAAAAAGTGCTAGAATTACAGGCATGAGCCACTGTGACGAGCTTAAACTTATTATTTTAATTGAAATAAAATTATTTGGATGAATCTATACTGATAATATATGGTAATCTAATTGGTAAAAATCCCATAATGGACATTATATGGACATCCTATAACTAACATTGTTTATTGGTTTCTGTGCTAACTAAATTGCTGCCCAGTTTCACACAGTTACATAACCTTCATCTCAGTCTCTTTTCAATAGAATAGGTTAATGACAATATCTAGCTTCAAACATGCATCTTACCAATAACGTATTAGAAGTTACAATGGTAGGCCGGGCGCGGTGACTCATGCCTGTAATCCCAGCACTTTGGGAGGCCGAGGCCGGTGGATCACGAGGTCAGTAGTTAGTTCAAGACCAGCCTGGCCAATATGGTGAACCCCTGTCTCCACTAAAAATAGAAAAATTAGACGGGCGTGGTGGCGCGCTCCTGCAGTTCCAGCTACTCTGGAGGCTGAGGCAAAAGAGTCGCTTTGACCTTGGAGGCGGAGGTTGCAGTGAGCCGAGATCGTGCCACTGCTCTTCAGCGTGGGTGACAGAGCGAGACTCCGTCTCAAATAAACAAACAAGCAAAAAGTTACAATGGCAAAATGTGCTTTAAAAACAGTAATCCAAAATGCTTATTAGAGTACAAATATTGACGATGGAGCCGATTCACAGCATGCCCTAATTTTGTAATTAACAATGAATCAAAAGAAGCTATTAAGCTTCTGTTGCATGTCTATTCTTAATAAACCTCATGCTGCTTAATGCTCAAAATTCTATTGTCCTCTTAATATGTTTATAGATTTTTGTAGAATCAAATATAATAGTATGTTTGAGGGATAATTATTTTCATAAGCATTTATAAAGAATTATTTCAACATTTACCTCTCCTTCTTGCCCATTATAACTGTTTAACTTTCTGAGTTTCTTGCATTTTTTATAGAACAAAAATATTGTACAGTAATCATGGAACAATTTCAATGTGTATCTTCCTTCTCAATATGCTGATCTATTCAATATATGTTCAAATTATCTAGGTTTTTGTTCACAGACATATCTGATCAATGTTTAATTTTGGCAAACTTCATTAGTTTTTCATTGTACTGACATTTTTGTTAGAAACATATACATTTCCAAGGTAAGCATTTTCAATCTTGTAATAAAAATACTGCTTTGTTAAATTCATTCTATCATTTATTGAAATACAAATGCTGACACCTCATAATGCAGTAACATTTTCTTGCTAAGAAAACGGTAGATATTTTGTTTAAAACATATTTTGTTAAAGTGGCATACTTTAAAAGAAGGAAAAAAAGATTATGCCCATTTCATTGTCCACTAAATTAGGGAAAAGAGATAACTCCAGATATATGCCATGCTTTAAATTGGTACATTCTTACACTGTTGATGGCTTTCACAAACATTACAAGAACAGAAAGCAATGTGAAATGCACAGAAATAAACATATATGTCACCTTATTTTTTAACAGAGGAGTTCTACTCTCAGAAATATACGTTAAAAGAATAACTTCTCCAAAACCAAAACAAAAAGAAAAAGACAGAAACAAGACCTTTCCCTTATAAAAATACATATGTGGCTTTTTTTTTTACCTTTAATTTAAAAACCTGAAAAGGAATACTGTGGTACACTTTAGATGTCACTAGTCAGCCATTATACTTTGTGATTATTTAGATTATTTAGTAACTGATTTTTAAATAATATAGTACTAAAGGAAAAGTAGTTAAAACAAAAAAGGCATGTGCAAATGAGCTCAAATAACTTCAATGGAGCAGTTACATAGATTAAGATTGGATAGCAATATACAAAGCTAGAAATAGATGTATTAAATTGAAAACATTATGGTTGTCTTAACTTATATGTTTAAAATTCTTATTAATATTTTGATACAGTATTATTTTTCAGTGGTTAAATAGGGTTTTTATGGAAATGCTGTGAACATACTCATTCATGGGAGTAATTTCTATGCTGTATATTTTATTTTATTTATTTATTTTCTTAAGATAGAGTCTCTCTCTGTTGCCCAGGCTGGAGTGCAGTGGCACGATCTCCGCTCACTGCAACCTCGGCCTCCAGAGGTCAAGCAATTCTCCTGCCTCAGCCTCCTAAGTAGCTAAGATTACAGGCATGTGCCACTGTGCCTGGCCACTTTTTGTATTTTTAGTAGAGACGGGGTTTCGCCATGTTGGCCAGGATATTCTAACAAGAGAGTGACATAACTACATATCACAAAAAAAATTATTGCTATAGTCACAGTACAAAAATTATAAATTATTCAAATCAAATTAATATAAAATATATTTCAAGTTATAATTTTCATATTTCAGAAAATATTTTAAGTAAAATTATACAATTTAAGGTACAAACTCCATATAAACAATATTTTTATAAATAACAATAAAACATTACAGTTTTTAATGCACATATTTTCATGTTTTTTCCATTTTGCTGTGTTTGAAGTTGTTCTAAGTTAAACATTCTTTTTTCTAATACCTTTCTATCAAAAAATGATTATAATTTTTATAATATTTTTCACAATAGCCAAGATGTGAAATCAAACATAATGTCTATCTTTGAATTAGTAGATTTAAAAATATGGTATATTCTCTAAAGATAATTTTAATCAGCTACAAAAATGAGGAAATCCTGCCATATGCAACACTATAGATAAATTTTGAAAATGTTAAGTGAAATAAGCCAGTCATAGAGGCCAAATATTGTATGATACCACTTATAGGAGGTACCTAAAATCATTGAATTTATAGAAACCTCTAGACAGTAGAATGTTGGTTGCCTGGGCCTAGGAGTAAGGGGGAAATAGGGAGTCACTGTTCAATAGATAGTTTGGCAAGATGAATACATTCTAGAGAGCTGCTGTACTACCTTGTGTCTATAGATACAATACAGCATTGTACACCTGAAAATTGGTAAGAGGGTAGATCTACACACCCACACACAGATATGCAGATACGCAGAGGATTGGTTATTGGTTGGGTGTTCCATATTGCAGTTGTACGGTTCAGGTGTTCAATTTTTGTACAATATTAAATCTTGCTTGAAATATTTCACACTATAATGAACTAATAATGATTTCATTAATTTTCCTCTCCACAGTACACTTCATATTTTTGATGATTAATATTAGTGCCTTTTTGAATATATAAATATATTTATCATGCTGTGGGTATAATTGATGGAAATTTGTAATAAAAGGCTATTTTTAATAATCCTTGTCTTACTTGGAGTCTCCTGCTCTAACTAATATTTGAATATTCCCAACACAAAGCGATAATAAATGTTTGAGGTAATGGATATGCTAATTGCTCTGATTTGATCATTATACATGTATACATGTATCCAAAATTCACACTGTACCTTACAAATATGTTATAATTATTATATGTCCGTTAAAAAAATCACACTAAAAGCAGAAAAAAAATCAACAGCAACAACTCCAAGATTCAATACCACGACCATTACCACGAACACCACCAATGCCACCTCTTTCCTGCAGCAGATATTATAGCAAGCCAGTATGTGTATATGTTTCTTAAAACCCTTCCAATAACCATGTATTCAATAATATTATATCTATGCTCAAAGAAATGCTACCCCAAAATGAACACTGAAAAACATGGCAGTGGACACCATGAATAATTTCAGACTGCCCTGCAGAATGGGGCAAAGACTAAAGCACTAATTCAAATATTCTACTCTGGCTAGGCTGTTTGTTATAGATTTATTTGTATCTAAAAATTATTCACATTGAAATTAGATGATAAACATCCTAAACTAAGAAGATTTCCCTGTTATTCTTTGTGACTCCATGAATTTCATATAGTGTGATTGAGGGGTAAGAAATTCCCAAATTGCTGGTCAATGTGGTGCATACCTGTAGTCCCAGATATTCACAAAGATGAGGCAGGAGGGTTGCTTGATCTCAGAATTCAAGACCAGCCTGTGCTGCTCTAGCACAATCCCATCTCTTAAAAAAAAAAAAAAAGAAAGAAAAAGAAAAACAATGATATATCTAAATATTATATGACATATTTATTGTATGACATATGCAAGAATAACATATTAGGTACATTTATAGAAAAGCCACTCTTATTGTTGTAAGAAAAATGTGTCTTATTGTAAGAGTATTACATAGTTTGTAAAACATGGTTGGATGTTAGACCTTTGTCAGATGGATAGATCGCAAAAATTTTCTCCCTTTCTGTTGGTTGCCTGCTCACACTGATGACAGTTTCGTTTACTGAGCAGAAGCTATTTAGTTGAATTAGATCTCACTTGTCAATTTCGGCTTTTGTTGCAATTGCTTTTGGTGTTTTAGTCATGAAGTCTTTGCCCATACCTAAGTCCTGAATGGTATTGCCTAGGTTTTCTTCTAGGTTTCTTTTTTTTTTCTTTTTCTTTTTCTTTTTTTCTTTTTTTTTTTGAGACGGTGTCTTGCTCTGTCACCCAGGCTGAAATGCAGTGGCCTGATCTCTGCTCACTGCAAGCTCCGCTTCCTGGATCCACGCCATTCTCCTGCCTCAGCCTCCCAAGTAGCTGGGACTACAGGAGCCCACCACCACGCCTGGCTAATTTTTTGTATTTTTAGTAGAGACGGGGTTTCTCCGTGTTAGCCAGGATGATCTCGATCTCCTGACCTCGTGATCCGCCCGCCTTGGCCTCCCAAAGTGCTGGGATTACAGGCGTGAGCCACCAAGCCCAGCCTCTTCTAGGGTTTTTATGCTTTAGGTTTTATGTATTAATCTTTAATCCATCTTGAGTTAATTTTTGTATAAGGTGTAAGGAAGGGGGCCAGTTTCTGTTTTCTGCATGTGCTAGACAGTTTTCTCAGCACCATTTATTAAATAGGGAATCCTTTCCTCATTGCTTATTGTTGTCACGTTTGTAGAAGATCAGATGGTTGTAGATGTGTGGTGTTATTTCTGAGGCCCCTGTTCTGTTCCTTTCCCTGTGTCCATGTGTTCTCATTTTTCTGCTCCAACATATGAGTGAGAATATGCCCAGGTCTATATATCTGTTTTGGTACCAGTACCATGCTGTTTTGATTACTGTAGCCTTGGTAGCCTTGTAGTATAGTTTGAAGTCCAGTAGCCTGATGCCTCCAGCTTTGTTCTTTTTCTTAGGATTGTCTTGGCTATACGGGGTCTTTTTTGGTTCCATGTGAAATTTAAAGTAGTTTTTTTCTAGTTCTGTGAAGAAAGTCAATGGTAGCTTGATGGGAATAGCACTGAATTTCTAAATTATTTTCGGCAGTATGGCCATTTTCATGACATTGATTCTTCTTATCCATGAGCATGGAATGTTTTTCCATTTGTTTCTGTCCTCTCTTATTTCCTACAAGGAACATAAACAAACTTACAAGAAAAAAGCAACAACCCCATTAAAAAGTGGGTGAAGGATATGAACAGACAATTATCAAAAGAAGAGATTAATGCGGCCAACAGACATGTGCAAAAAAGCTCATCATCACTGGTCATTAGAGAAATGCAAATCAAAACCACAATGAGATATAATCCCACACCAGTTAGAATGGTGATCATTAAAAAGTCTGGAAACAACAGATGCTGCAGAGGATGTGGAGAAATAGGAATGCTTTTACACTGTTGGTGGGAGTGTAAATTAGTTCAACCATTGTGGAAGACAGTGTGGCGATTCCTCAAAGATCTAGAACCAGAAATACCATTTGACCCAGCAATCCCATTATTGGGTTTACCCAAAGTGTTACAAATCATTGTAATATAAAGACACATGCACACATATGTTTATTGCAGCACTATTCACAATAGCAAAGACTTGGAACCAACACAAATGTCCATCAGTGGTAGACTGGATAAAGAAAATATGGCACATATACACCCTGGAATACTATGCAGCCATAAAAAAAGAATGAGTTCATGTCCTTTGCAGGGACATGGATGAAGCTTGAAACCATCCTCAGCAAACTAACACAGAAACAGAAAATCAAACACTACGTTTTCTCACTCATAAGTGGAAGCTGAAAAATGAGAACACATGGACACAGGGAGGGGAATATTACACATTGGGGCCTGTCAGGGACTGTGGGGGAAAGGGGAGAGAGAGCATTAGGACAAATACCTAATGCATGTGGGACTTAAAACAGGTCGATAGGTGCAGCAAACCACCATGGCACATGTATGTCTACGGAGCAAACCTGCATATTGAGGACATGTATCCCAGAACTCAAAGTAAAATTAAAAAATATATATTTTTATAATATATATATTTATATATAATATATATTACATATATTATATATATTTACTATATATAATATGTATGTATTTAATATATATTATATATATATATATTTGGATGGACTGAAGAAATCTATTCTCTACTGATCTTCAAGGAAAGATATCCAAATTTCCACTGTAGTTTTGTGCTGCCAAGATTGTGGCTGCCTCTAGAACTACCAGAAAGCTGTAGAATCAGGAAGTTATCATCATGGCTCTATGTTCCTCTGTCACTACCAGGAAGCCTTGTTCTAAAATGGAAATATGCTGGACAGTTGCTCAGTCCAGAGCTATGCCTTTTCTGCTCCAACATGCAGCTGCAAAACTAAGGTTAAAACATGCCCCTTGATGCTCTTAAAACCACAGAATAGGCACTAAGACCTCTGAAATAGCAGCTGGGCAGGACAGGGGAGAGGCAACGGAGACAAATGCTGTCACTCCTGCACTTGCCAGAGGAAACAACAGAAGCAGCAGATGTTAGGCAGGATTCTACCTTGGAGTGTTCTATTTCTGCTTTCCAAATATTTTACAGATAAGTCTGATAGGTGAAACTTCAAACATACCTGTAAACTGAGTCATACATATTCTAGCATCAGGCCTCTGTGGCATAGAAATGTACACTAGGAGAAGGTTGGAATGGATGCTGAGTTGGCAGATGGACAGTATCTGCAAAAGAACGTTGCTGAAAGTTTGCTTGTGATTGTTCCTGTGAGATGGTAGGCTCTGAGATAATTTGTAGGCACAGGGTTGAAAATTTTGTGTTTTATGATTACCAAGCATAGAAGGCACCTAACTAGTTCCATCATTTAAGAATCATTATTCACTGTATGACCGTCTCAGCAAACTATGATTAATGGTTGTTATTTTCCTCAAGATATGACAAAATATTGGTTTTTTTTGCAAGAATCACTTTACTAGACTATACTAAATGGATGTCAAGTATTGGAAATTATGCTATTTAAAAAATACTAACCCAATGTACGGATCTTTTAAGGGTCCACAGTTTATTCATTCATTGCACGAATATTGTTATAGTATTTTATATATTCTATAAATATACATAATCGCAGAATGTAATAAATTACAAGGGAAAGAGAGGAGGATTATAGTACTGTACCTAAGTCATATTTTTCATTTTATGATACACATTAACTTACTTCAGTATCTCTGGAACTGGTATTCAACTTAAATACATTTCATGAAAGCAGCGTTTATGATATAGATGCCTTTGTCTCCATGTCCATAAAGATAGTTATTTTAACAATTATTTTCACCTCATTTGAGCTGTATACAATACTATGTTATCTGAATTTTTAAATTTAATTGCCACTCAAAGTATTTTTTCACATCATCTAGAAATTTGATACATATTCATATTTTAAATGTGATCATGGTTTTATGATTATATATTAAATATCTTAAAGATATACTTGAGAGATATACATATAAATAGTAAGACTCTATAATAAGATTTTTTAAAGCAATAAAATTAGTAGTGAATATGTATATTCAACTTATAACCATATTAAGGTAACATCTGATGTTAATAATGTAAATAAATTTGTAACAACCAAACAAGGCAAATGTTTCTTTTTCCAAAGCAATTGAAATTCCAATACTTCATGAGATAGTAAGAAGGTTAAAAAATGTAAAATAGACTAAGGTATTAGAAATTGAAACAGATCAATGTCCCATTTTCATTTACAAAGGACTACCTTTGGGTTTTAAATAAAGTATTTTGAGTTATATCTTCATTCTCCTTTATTAACATTTGTTACTAAATTATTGGTGGTTTTATATATATTGTTTATATTATTTGTGTAGCTTTGTGTGCTTTGCTTAATTAACTGACTTTAGGAATGGATATTTAGTTATGCTTTTACATCGTTTGTATATGCTTTAGAAAACTAATTCTATTACTAATTATATCACTTTCTAAAATATTACAAAAGTTACATTATCAGGAAAACTGGGTGGGTATGTGCACAAAATATTCTTTGCTTTGTCACTAGACTAGAACAGGTGCTGTACAGATATGAGAACACATAGGACTGAGAGGGATTCAGGAGATCATACTATTATCCTTACTGTCCTCAAGTAAAGCCACATAACCATTTAAAGTAAATGAATTGAACATGAAATCATGACCAAGACTTGCAGACAATAGAATACATCTCCTGAGTGAACAGGTTACATTTTTGTGACCCTTACTTTTAACTCACGGAAACTTCCTTTTCTCCTAACCAAATCTCCTTCTACAACATCTCAATTGTATTAATACCTTCGTGGATTTCAAAAACCATTTATCATTATCTGTTGCAAAATGATCCTTCTTTATAGATGACAATGATTTCTAATCCATTTCTTATTCTCTTCAGTCTAAAGTGATGTTATTTACATTCTTTCGAATCTGTATTTTCTGAAGTTTTAATTTGACTCTTGTCTTTTCACTTTTTTTTAGATCTTTACAGAATATAACACAAAGATGAGAAAATTTGGAAAACTTTATATTCTATCACAGTAATGAAATAGTTGCCCTCAATAGACTTTCTAGCCAGATTTTCAGGAAAGGCCATTCAGATTAGATGAGTATTGATTATTATTATTATTAGATGTTTAGATGATTCCTTTCCAAGTGAATACTGAATGCTAAAATTACATAAAGGCTAAAGTTAAAGACCGCTAAATAATATAATATTATGCCCTTTCAATTCCCCACATCCCCTATATTCTTCACAGCCTCTGGCAATGATTATTCTGTTCTCGATGTGTGTAACTTTTTTGTGCTCCCACATATAAGTGAGAACACGCAATATCTGTCTTTCTTGCCTGGCTTATGTAACTTCATATAATGTCCTCCAGTTCCATCCCTGTTATTGCAAATGACAAGATTTCATTAATTTTTGAAGGCTGGATAATATTCAGTTATGTAGATGTACCACATATTCTTTATCGATTAATCCCATGTTGGACAATTGGTTCAATCCACAGCTTGGCTATTTTGATTAGTGCTGCTAAAAGCATGAAAGTTAGATAGAATGGGTAAGATCTAGTATCTGTTAGCACAATAGGGAAACTATCATTAATTTATCATACATTTTAAAGTAAATAAAAGAGAGGAAGTGGATTTTTTCTAACACAAGGATACCCAAATTACCCTGGTTGATCATTACACATTGTATGCTTGTATCAAAACATTACATGTACCCCATAAATATGTGCCATATATGTAATGGCTATATGTACCCATAATAATGAAAAATAAACAACTAAACAAAAATAATAATATACTTTACAAAATAAGATTTCACTTTAAATCTTAAATTGGAAGTTTATGATACAAAGAATCAGATTTAGATTCTTAAATTGCCTTTCACCAAAAAAGGATATTTGGATTCCAGACCACTAAGACTCAGCTATAATCTCATTTAATGCAATAATATGGCTAGAAGTTTTGTTGAAATTAAAAATTTAAAAGAAAGGACAGTTACCCAGAAAGGAACTAATAATTCACCTTGAAGCATTGTTCAGTAGAGCAGTGGTTCTTTTGCAGAGTGAATTTTTATTCTTTTACCCCATCAGCAAGGCGATGACCATTGAGAAGCATTATGTGCCTTTAAACCTCTAGATTTTTACGTAACATTATGTTCTGTTTGGAAAACAATGCTTTCTTCTCTCTTCCAGTAACTTTTCCTTACTCACATTCATTTCTTTCAAGAATATAATACATTGTTATTAACTATAATCCCTGTGATGTATGTAGATCTCTTGAAATTTTTCCTTCTAACTGAAATTTTGTAACCTTTGACAAATATCCTTACCCACAACTTCAGCCTCAGGTAATCATCATTTTACTCTCTGTTTTCATGAGTTTAACTTTTAAGATTTCACATATAAGAGTGAGATCACGCAGTATTTGTCTTCTGTGCCAGGCTTGTTTCACTTCACATAATACTCTTCAGGTTTATTCATGTCATCACAAATAATTGGCTGCTTTTTTAATGGCTGAATAGTATTCTATTGTGTATATATAACACATTATTTTACATCCATTTTCAGATCTATCTTTGAAGACACATATCTAAAATATTTCTAGATATCCTTTTTGTGGGTTCTGTTTCCCTTATGTTGTTATAATACCTCCCTCTACCTCTCTAATCAACACATTAATTCTTATTAGTGTGGCCTTCATATTTGTCTTTCTTTCTTTCCCTATAATATACAGTTTATGAAGACAATAATCTAGTGTAGCTTGATCATTATTTTTTTCTCTAGTATGCCAAATGCAATTGTGACATATATATAATATACACAGTGCTGGCCAAATGGCCGAATATTTGCTGAAAGAGAGGGGCGCATATATATATACTAACTTACGAATGAATATTGTATGGTTGGCTCCTGAGAAATGGTGACACACATGAAAGAAAAAGTAAAAAGAGACAGGGTTTGGCAACAGTGTTGGACTAAATGTTTTGTGCCCCCAAAATTACACACTGATACTGTAATCCCCAATGTGGTGATATTAGGGAGTGGAATCTTTGGGAAGTATTTAGGTCATAAAGGTGGGGCCCTCATAAATGGCTTTTGTGACATGACATTATAAAAAGGCACAAGGAAGCTTTTATTTTCTCTCTCTCTGATCTCTACCATGTGACAATATACTGAGAAGACAGTCATTTGAAAATCAGGAAGTAGGCCCTCCCCAGACGACTGATCTGCCTGGGCCTTGATCTTGGACTTCGTAGCCTCCAGAATTGGAAGAAATAAACTTACGTTGTTTCAGCCAACCCAGTCTACGGTTTTCTGTTTTATCACCCTGAATTGACTAAGACACCGATCAATGAGGCAGATATCAAGACTACAAACCATGGTACATGCAACAATGGAATGAGGCTGTCTTGAGTTAATACACAGCCATTTACCTTACTCAATGCCCTAGCATAACTATAAGCCATAGGCACAAACATTTTTAGACTTCTATATAGTAAAATTAAATTCTGTGCTAATATTTTCTAATAGTTGGGTTTTGAAACCAATATTATACACTTTTGTAAGTTTAGAAATAGTTTGGAAAGTTATGGCAAAGTTTTAGGCATTGTTTAATACCTGGATACACAGAACAACAAAAAGGACAAAAATGATAATGATCTTTGCATAGACACATAACATTTTTTAATTCTAAGTCAAAGAGTTTCTTAATGGTATATAGATATCTTGTTTACTGCTTCATCCAAGATAATAACCTAAGTTGCTAGCATTTTAGAGGAGAAATGTGTGGACAAACAAGTCTAAAGCTAAAAACAATAAGAAAATTTAAATTACTTATGGATGCTAACTGAAATGAATATGGTCTTGAGGCAAATTACATTCTTAAAAATTTAAAGTATCATGCCTAGTCTTTTCTTAATGCTTACTTTAAGATTTGAGGTTTTTGGATGACCATACCTTTTATTACCCTATTACTTTCAATAAAACCATATATTATGTTATGCATTACATGTTTCACTATCATACAAGAGATAATAATAATATATGACTAAAACATTCAAATTCAGAAAGAATACATCTGTACTAAATTATATAATGAGTTTTCCAAGATGCTGCTATTAAAAAAATTTCTTTTTATTATTCAGTTAGGACTTGAGTTAGAATATTTGAAAAAGAATATGAAATAGATTTGACCTTAGTGAGGGGTATGGTGAACTATAATTTTGTTTAAAAATTCAAATTAGTTTCACAGAATGTTTAAGTTTATAATGAGTAAAAGTGAGCTAGTAGTTTGGGGAAAATATAGAAGTAAGACATAAATGTAAGGGTTGAATATTGGAAAAAAATTTAAAATATTCTCAGAAGAATTATATATATGTGTAATATTTATGCCTTTTTAATATATGGCATAAAATATATCAGTAAGTTTGTTTTTCTTGTTAAAAGTGAGCGAGCTTTATAGTTTAGTGTTATTTGTTATATAATTCAAAGACATTTTGAAGAAAAATAGGATGCAAGATTTTTATCACTAAATTAAAAAAATATTTTTGGTAATGCATGTTAAACAAGAAAAGATTCTTAAAAATTGGCTTTTAAGGATTCTAAAGGTCATGCAATATTGTAGGTGCTAGTAAGAATCTGATTGAGCTAAGTTGTATTTTTCACTTATTTATATTTCCCCCGTGTTTTCTTTTTTCTGGCTTAAAGCCATTTTTTATTTTTTATCCTCCTTGCTATCTTTATTCTACCAATATTTCAAAACCAAAACCCAATATTTCTTCTCACCTATGAAATGTTTCTGAGTGTATATACATACATATGTATGTGTATGCATGTGAAACTGATTATGTGTATGTATATATATATATATATATATATATATATATATATATACATCACTCCATATCCTTGACCTTCCAAGAATAGGAGGAACTTCCAAGAATGACATAATTCACAGATGCTCAAATCCCTTAAATAAAATGGCATAGTATCTGCATGTAACCTATGCATATTCTCCTGTATACTTCAAATTATCTTTAGATTATCTATAATCCCTAATAATGTAAATTCTATGTAAATAATTGTTATATTGTATTTAGAGAATAATGACAGGAAAAAAGTGGGAATATGTTCAGTAAAGATGCAATTTTTACAATATTTTTTATTCGTAGTTGGTTGAACTCACGGATGTGAAACTTATGGTTACCGGCTGGGCGTGGTGGCTCATGCCTGTAATCACAGCCCTTTGGGAGGCTGAGGCGGGCCGATCACTTGAGGTACGCGGTTTGAGACCAGCCTGGCCAACATGGTGAAACCCGTCTCTACTAAAAATACAAAAATTAGTAGGGAGTGGTGGTGGGCACCTGTAATCCCAGCTACTCAGGAGGCTGAGACAGGAGAACTGCTTGAACCTGGGAGGCGGAGGTTGCAGTGAGCGCCACTGCATTCCATCCTGAGCAACAGAGTAAGACTCCGCCCCACAAAAAAAAAAAAAAAAAAAAAAAGAGAGAGAGATTTATAGTTAGATAGGAGGGCCAACTTTATACTGTATCTACTAACCTGGGTTTTCTTATCACAGAGCTACCATTTTAATGGGAAATAAAAGACTAAGACTTGAAAATAAGTTAACAATATAACTTCAGATAGCGATTAAAATATACAAAACTTAAGCAACGTAATAGGAAAGAATAGAAGAATTGGTTGAGGTAGGAGTGTTTCTACTTTAGAATCTACAAAACATCATTTGCTAGGGAAATATTTGAGCTGATGACTGAAAAATGAATACAAAATAAGCATTGGAAAAATCAAAGAAATGTAAAGTGCATTACATTTCTGTCTTGTGAAAGGCAGAGAAAAATAATAATCTGATAAACAGAAAAAGACATAAAGTTAGATGTCTCCCTAGGGTCAAAGAAAACTATATGAATGAAATTATTATAAAATGTTCCAAATATTTAATTAATATAATTGTTATTACTATTTATTTCCACATAATTAATGAAACACTACTGACTTCAACTTCAAGACTACAAGGTTTTTGTAGTTTAATAATATATGATAAATATTCATAGTTTAAGTTGTTAACATCCTTAAATCTCTCTAGCAATTTCTCCGATATACACAGAAAAAAAGAGAACATTCCATCTCTGACTTCAAGTGGCTTAAAATGTTTCAGAGAAAAAAGATACTTCTATAAATGTATTATCAGTAAAATATTAGATATTATGATAAGAATGAGGTCACATTACCATATACTACTAGCAACTCAGTTATAAAGACTGAAAATGCTGTAGTAGTTCTGAGAAGAATTTTGAATTTTGAAATTTTGAATATTTTGAATATTGAAGACTTATTCTGGTTCAATCACATACTGACTTATTTAATTCTAACAATACCTCTATGGGCTAGGTACTATTGCTGATATTTTAAATTTAAAAATTAGGAAACTAAGTTATAGACAGATATTAATAATGTTCCAAGGTTATATAGTTTTAGTTAAGAGTTAGAACTGGCTTTAGAAACTTCTTTCTTTCTCTCTCTCTCTCTCTCTGTCTCTCTCTACAAACACACACACACTAATTTTTTACCTCTCATTCTTGTGATTTCTCTCTCTTCATATACATATATGTAATGTTATATATAAAAGATACATTATATATTAAACAGGAAATATTTGATTAAAATGTAGACAAAAATATTCCAAATTAATAGAAATAATAACTTGCATATCCAAGGATCTCAGAAAATCTTAAACTGATCAAGCAAAAAGCCAGTCATACCTATGTACATCATAGACAAGTTGCTTAAGGTAAAAGATAAATAGAAATTCTTAAAAATTTCCAAGAAATAAGATTGAGTGCATGCAATGAAACAACAATACGAATATGACTTTAAAAAGTAAAACCAATTGAGAAGAGGATAACAATTTTAACGTATTAAAAGAGAAAAAGTTTGTCCATCTAAATTTCACATTCTACAAAAATATCCTCCACAAGTTAGATAAAATATAGACAAATTAAACTAAGTAAAAATTGGAATAATTTGTCTCCAGCAGACTCTAGTACATTAAATGCTAAAGGAAGATCTTAACCCAGAGAAAAAATATACTATGTGGAAAGTTACATAATTTTTCAAGGTTTTAAAGCACCAGACATGATAAATTTGTGAGAAAATATGGGAAAACCCACCTAAATTTAATAATCATGTATTTTCTTTAAATGATTACTATGTAAGACAGAAACATGTTAAAGTTTAGCTTATATAATGTATGTAGAATTAAAATTACAAAATTAGATTTTATAATGTATGTAGAAGTAAAATTTCTGACTTCAAGAGTACAGTTTTGCAGCATAAATGAAATTATAATACAGTATTCTTATAATTTACATGAATATTTACACAGTATTACATCTAATTAGACTGTGAAAAAATAATATTGCAGTTAATGCATTCACTAAACAAATAGAAAACAATAAAACAGCCAAAATGAGTTGCCCAACTATACTTTATTAATACAAAAAAGGCAGAAAACGAAAAACAGCAGAAAAATCACCATAAAGCAAAACAAAACAAGACAGTAGTCTTCATCGCAATTGCATTAGTTTTCTTGAATGGCTGGGTGGCTTAAAACAACAGAAATTTATTTTCTCATACTTCTAGACACTAGAAGTCTGAAATCAAGGTTGTGGTTAAGTTGGAACATTCTGGAGACTGATGGAGAATCTCATCCATGCCTTTCCCCTAGTGTCTGGTATTTGCTAGGGATACTTGGCATTCCTTGGCTTCTCTCCAAAATCTGCGTCTATTGTCATGTGGCATTCTCCTGGTTTTTTTTTCTGTGTTCCTGTGGCTATTACTGACTTTCTTATAAGGACAACAGACATTGGAATTAGGGCCTATCCTAATCCAGTAGAACTTCATCTTAACTTACACCTGTAAAGGCTTTGTTTCTAATTAAGGTGAAATTTACAAGTGAGGACTGCAGCATATCTTTTAATGTACAGAATGCAACTAATAACTCTATCTATATTAGTAATTACATTAATTATTGATAAACATACAAATTAAAAGGCAGAGATTTTAATATTGGACAAAAACATCACGACTCAAGTGTATCCTGTCTATAATAGTTGTACACTAAATATTAAAGACTCAAGATGAGAATCAAAGCATGAAATATCATAATTATAAAATATAGTCATATGAAAAATAAAATATCTATAATAATATCAAAAGCAGTAGAGTTCATAACAATCATTATTGTTGGTAAGAAAAAGGAATATTTTGTAAAATGACCAAATGTTAAGACACAGTTAAAAAATACATTTGCGCATAATAATATATCTTCAAAACATAGAACTGAAAAACTAATAGAATTAAAGGAAGAATAAACAATTCCACAGTCAAGGTTAAAATACATGTAATTGAAATAAAAAATACAAAATAAATCAGCAAGACTATAAACTATTTGAACAGCGTTTTATCCATATTTACCTAATTGATACTTATAGAAGATTAAACCTAACAAATTTAGAGCACCTGTTGTCTCAAGTGTGCAAAGAATTTTTACCAGGATATACTATATGCTTGACAATAAAAATAACTCTCAATGATTTAAAAAATTGATATTTCATGTAGCCCAAAATAAAATTTAATTAGAAAGCAATAGTGGTAAGATATTTAAAAATTTCACAAATATTTTAAATTATGCCACAGGTTTCTAAAGAAGCAATACATTTAAAATAATAAAAATAAAATAAAAATAAAAAACGAAATGTTGAAATTTATGGGTTCCACCAAAAATTATGGGTTCAAGAATATGTATTGCAACCTGATCTCATAGCAAGAAATATATCTTTAACTGAAAGATACAGCATTTCCACATGGTTATGATATTGTGAAAAAGTGATGGCCATGAGAATTTCATTCTAGTGAAGAATTAAGTAACCTGTTTTCTGTGATCCACCAGAAACACCGATCACGTGTACAAAAGATGAGAAAATCTGGGTTCATGGTTGTAAGTGAGATAAGAAAAATGGGCTGGATGATTCCTTACCCAGCTTTAAATATAATGGAAAGACAAATTCTGATACTATATTTTCTAGTTCACAGAGCACAAGGGTATTCTGTGAGGCTGTAACAACCATACTGAAGGATGACATTTCAGTGACCTCAGACTGATGGAAACAAGATTGTGAAACACGTTGTCCATGATATTGCAATTCAACACCATCTAAATTTTCAACTGACTTTATTTTCATGGTTATAATTGGAGTGGTTATCACAAAAATTGGAGCTATATCAGTGGAAAGGATGTATATGGGAAGTCTAAGTGGCTCACCATCACTATCACTATCTTATACTGTTTTATTGCATTCACTGTGCTTATTTTCTGAAATTATCAAAGCCTAAGAAGATGGATATTTGGTTTCTTTTTTCTGCTTATTTTCACTATATCCACAGCAGTGCTCTATCTACAGCAGTAGGAGCCATGCCAATCAATACCTGGTAAGAGCTGAATAACAATTGAATAGATAAACATATGAAAGACTAGAAACAAACCAGGTTCTTGCTGTAAAAAGTACAAAACATGTCCCATTGGATTATGTTTCATTGGAAACACTTCTCACTGCTTTTATTTCTTTTCTTCATCAACTTCTTTTTTATTATTTTAACACACTGAATCTTTAAAAAGCTTGTTCATGACTAGGGTCCAAATATTCCATGATCCATGACTGGAGTCCAAGTATTCCATGTCCCTGATGGAGCTAAGCTTAATCAATTCACATTAAAACATCCAAGAATCGCATAGGTAATATTGACAAATGTCAGGAGATATTATATCAATATGTATTTATAGATGATTATCCAGAGGGCACAAAGTATAATTGTAATTCTTGCTGAATTGGTTGCTTAGGGAACACCTCATAATATGTCGATATAATAATATGTTTAAAAATATCTGGGTAGCTGACTTTTGCTCCAGTAGTAGGCTGAGGCAAACTTAGACACAGAATTTACCCATTCAAGCTGACATTTAAAATGTATAGGAAGACATTCAAAGATTGTAGCATGAAGACTTAGGCAAGGTATGTATTTCATGTCCAAATTTTGTCTCTGATATTCCTGTCAGTACTTGAAAGCCTATTCCTTTGTCCAGTGACAGTTGATAAAGAAGGCCCCTTATTGGTTAAAATGGGCAATACCACACTTTCCCAAAAGAGATAAGGACCTCGATAATGGAGGATAAATCAAGGGTGGCCTAGCCCAACTGGCAGCTACTTACGGATTCAGAATTCCTGACAAATAACATTCTGTATAATTTATATTCATTGGCTTTACACTTTTTATCATCTATTTAGATTAGTAACAAAAATCCCTTTGTTTTGTAGTTTATGACCAAAATATAAATGCTAAAATCAGTTAACTTCTTCCACCGATGAAAATGCCCTTGTGTCTTAGAGCCACTATTTCTTCAAAATATTACAATTGATAAGGACATGTTAATGTTTACATCATTTTAAAATAGATAATCAAAAGCTTATCAGAAAACTATATTGGTCATTGTTCAACCAATACTCAATAAAAGAGGTAACTTTCATCTTTATGGTGAAAAGATGTTTGTAGTGTAACTTGGGCTCTGAGACAGATCCTTCTCAAATAAATCTCTTTAATGTCTAAAATTCGATAAGCAAAAATTTATCTCTGAACTTTAAAAATTGTTTTTTTCCCTTATGATCCTTTATTGCAATGCAAATACCTCTAAAATGGTAAAGGCACTACATTTATTACACTTTGGTATACAATGATTTTTAAGTAAAGTGAAGCAAATTAAACTGGGTAGAAATCAACTTAGCAAAAAAAATTACAGGGCTCTCCATCCAAACCTATGTGTTTTATACTTATTGGATTAATTTAATCTTGGATGAAAGGTCTAGAACAACATGAGAAGCCTTAGACACATGAGGAGAGTGTGTCCTGATGAGAACGGAGGGAGAAAGACACATGGGATGATGTTACAGAAAATTTACTCCATTTTTTTTCTCTGTTTTCCCACATTACAGTTTTGCCTGAATTGAAATTTGTCGTTAGACACAATTGAAATCTACAGATATCTTTTTATTTTTTTATTTTTTTAATTTTTGAGATGGGCTCTTGCTCAGTCGCCCAGGCTGGAGTGCAGTGGCGTGATCTCGGCTCACTGCAAGCTCCACCTCCCGGGTTCACGCCATTCTCCTGCTTCAGCCTCCCGAGTAGCTGGGACTACAGGCGTCCGCCACCACACCCGGCTAATTTTTTGTATTTTTTTAGTAGAGACGAGGTTTCACCGTATTAGTCAGGATGATCTCGATCGATCTCCTGACCTCGTGATCCGCCCGCCTCGGCCTCCCAAAGTGCTGGGATTTACAGGCATGAGCCACTGCACCCGGCCATATCTTTTTATTTTTAAAAGTTGAGTGGATAGGAGAGAAGTGAAATGAGAAATGGCAGTATTAAAGATACAATATGCGTTTACAAGGGTGTTGTAAAATTATTTTTTACTGAAAAAATGGCAAAGTTTTTAATTACCAAAAGGACATTAGAAAATCCTCAATTATTGGAGAAAGTTCCACTTGGTGACAGTTCAGCGAGAAAAAGAAATGCGTCAAATATCACATTATTTCATAAGGACCAAACGACTTGAAATAAATTTTTCTTCCAAACGTAGCATTTTTAATTATTTGCATGATCGTCTATTCTTAATGTCAATTAGGAGTCGCAATACATACTCATATCTGATTTAGAGATCAGACTAAATGTTGTTACTTGCTAACAGTAGGCACACTATTGAGATATTAAGTTTTGACACTTAACATGTATTTGATGTGTTATTACAACTCAAAATGAGCCAGTGTTTTACTCTATGCAACTGAGAGGCAATTCTAAATGACCAATTTTATAAATAAAATTTTATTTGAAAATTTTAGAGGAGTTCATAGTCCCATTTAAAATTTAAAATGCTGTCATTACTATAGCTTTTCTGTGACTTGCTAATAAAACAAACAATAATTAAATGTGTAGAAATTATATAACTGTAATGGCTTTTTGCTCTGTTTAATACTTTGATATGATTTTATTTTATGCTGTGTTCCCTGGAAACAGACTGAAAGGAGAAATTTTGTATGGGTTTATTAGAGACTTTTCTCTGGAGACACACTTGTGAAGAAATGGAGTCAATATTTGGAAAAGGGAGAAGCTGACCTGAATGTAGCGGGAACTGAGCCTTCAACTAACCTCAGCCTGGGGATCTTTTTGCCAGCAGTTGATACCATTCCGAAGAGTGACCAAGAGGAGTACGACCAGTGGTAAGGAAAATTGCCAGGGTGTCTCTTGAGGCTCCTAGTTTAAACAGTAAATAGGCATGAAAGAGTGTGGTTTGAAAAAGACTTAGTAACCAGTCGCTCATTAGTCTTGGTCATCCTATCAGTTCCTTGTTGAGCACCAGAAGAATCTGAATGGATGGTGAACAATGGAGAAGAAATAGTATTTGTTTCAGCTTTCAGGCCAACTGCAGCAGAGAAGGCTTTAATTCATTCCAGTAACCTTTCACTTTTAAGTTTCCCCAGGAAGCATGAACAAACAAGATCCTGAGAGAAGCTACAGTTCTGCTATAAGAAGCAAGTCAATCGTGGCAAATCAAATAGGAGACCAGAAGACTTTGGTGGGTTATCTTGTGCTCCACCAAAACCTGAAATGCATACACCTCTCTCCAGGTCAGAATCACTTATGAGCTCCTCTTCCAGCATATAATCCTTTGGTTGGAGACTGTAACAAAGAACAGTTTGCTGCAGTAATAGAAAAATAATGCTAGTCTATTGACAAGATAGGAGAATCTTATTTCTTGGTTTAGCTTGTAAATTTGCAGTTCTCCTTTTTTTTTTTCTTTTCTTTTTTTTTTTCTTTTTTTAATAGACATAGTTCTTGCTCTGTCACCCAGCCTGGAGTGCAGTGGCATGATCTTGGCTCACTGCAACCTTCACTTCCTGGGTTTAAGCAGTTCTCTGTCTCAGCCTCCTGAGTAGCTGGGGTTACAGGCACGGTGCCACTACACCCGGCAAATTTTTTTTTATTTATTTTTATTTTTATTGTTTTATTTTTAGGAGAGACGGGGTTTCACCATTTTTGTGAGGCTGGTCTTGAACTCCTGACCTCGTGATCCACTTGCCTCAGCCTCCCAAAGTGCTGGGACTACAGGCATGAGCCACCGTGCCCGACCTCTCCTTCTTATTTTATAAATATCAAACTCCTTTTTATTGATGTGATAGAAGTTGAGATGTTTTATTTTTGTTTCACACCTGGTAAAAATGAAAAGTTGCCATGCATGTTTTGCAAAGAAGCACATATACCAAATACTGAACCAGTAACCAAATTCCCTAGGTATACAGGAATTATAAGAAGAAACCAGTAAGTTTTGAATTTCATCCCTCCAGGTATTTTGAGTAGATACAAGCTCTCATTCACTGCTTGTTATATGGCAATTTCTATACTGGCACTTTAAGTGTGTTACTGTGAAATAGTCTCGTAACAAACCGATGAAATAGGTACTGAAAATTTGTGTCTTCTGAAATTTTAATAGGTAAGGAGTGTTAGATGTCATTCAGATAATTGTTACAGTCTCTGTACCAATCTCCTTTACATCCAATTGTACTTCCTGGCATCATTGTTTATCAATCATTGCATTGAAAGTTTTAGTATGTTCTCTATTATAATAATCCCACCTATTAATATGTTATTTCATGGGAAAATAAAAATGAATACTTTCAATTAAGGAAATGAAACAGTTTAAGTATAAAATAATTATATAACATTCTGGTACGTAGAAAATAAAAAAGCTAGTAGAGATTTGTGTGTTTATTTGATTCAACCCTCTTTTATAAGAAGTGAGGACACTGGATGTAGGAAAATGAAATGACAAGGGCATACTAAAATTTGCAGAACTTAGGCAAGAATCTAGATTTTTGCTTCGTAACCCAGTGTCCCTGCCTCCAAATATTCCCAAGAAAGAGAGTCTATTCAAAATAATGGAAAATTACTATAATAGTAAAGTGTTAAAAGGGAAAAAAATCAAGTTAAAATTCAGTAAAATTGTATTATTTTCCTATCTACACATTTCTTATATTATAACTTCAATGAATGTATTTTTATTGGCTTTCTTTTTTCTTTTTCTGTATATTTATAATATCAATTGACACATTCTCATAATAGAAAGATTACATGTAGAACTCATTCCTTATATATTACATTTGACTGCTTTATATTGGACAATATTAGAAATAACAATAATTTTAATCTCTTAGAAATTATCAGCCTTTATAGTTACAGTGATAACATAGCTATTGCCTTTCTCATAATTTAACATTAAATGACTGTTCTCATAGAAACCTAAACAAGTTAAATCAAAATGCAAAGAAAGGTGTTGGTTTTTTAAATGTAGTCATGCATCGTGTAGTGATGTTTTGTTCAACAAAGCATATACAAAGCCAGTCTCATAAGCTTGCAATGGAGCTAAAAAATTCCTATTACTTAGTAATGTCCTGACGAGACTAACACTGTATAGATAGGCCTAGGTGAATGTGTATGCACAAATATATGTGTCTTAGTTTTTAACAAAAAAAAATCTTAAAATATGAAAATCATAAAATAAGAAAAAGCTTATAAAATAAGAATATAAAGAAAAATATATTTTGTACACCTCTGCAATGTGTGTTTTACGCTGTGTTATTACAAAATAGTAAATAAGTTAAAAAGTTAAAAGTTTTTAAAAGGAAACAAATTATATAAGCTAAGGTTGAGGAAAGAAATAATTTTTATAAATTTAATATAGCCTGTTTACTGTGTTTATAAAGTTTACAGCAGTGTGCAGTAATGTCTTAGGCCTTTATATTCACTCAGTACTACTCACTGACTCATCCAGAGCAACTTCCAATCTTGCAAGATATACTCATGAGAAGTGCCCTATATAGGTATACCATTTTTAATCCTTTATACGATATTTTTACTCTACCTTTTCTATGTTTAGATACGCAAATATCATCATGTTACACTTGCCAACAATATTTGTGCTGTATAGGTTTGTAATCTAGGAGCAATAGGCTATGTCATATAGCCTAAGTATATTAGGCTATACTCTCTGTGTAAGTACACTCTATGATGTTCACACAATAAACACATTTCTCAGAACCTACCACCATGTTAAGTGACACATGACTATATGTTAAATTGCAAAACACACATAAAATAACAAACACTTCATATTTCTTCTCAACCTCCATTTTCAATCCCCAATATCAAGTGAAACTTTCATTGCCGTATTTCTCTTTTATTATCTTGAGGGTGACTCTTCCCTACTAAATCCTTTGTCTTGGAAACATATTTTGTGATTTCTGAAAATTTGCATTGGTTTCTGAAAGGTGAGTTGCTGTAAGCAGCAATTCTAACATTCATCCCTTTTTTCTCTGTGCATCCGAATCTTTCTGTAGAGCAGACTGTCTTGCAATGTACAAGGTTTACTAAGTTGCCCACTTTGGTACTGCATTATTCCAGTGCTGTGATTTTCTTTCTGGGTTTTAATAATAGACAGCTGGCTAATAATTTGTCAAGATATGGATCAATAACCTAATTTTGAATTCAAGGCTAAAATACAGTTTGTTTTTACTTATTAAAAAATACACTCATTAAATTAAATTAAATTAAATATGTCCTAAAGCTGTCTCCATACCTTGAGTTTATCTGCAGCAAACTGCAGCCGACTTAAGAGTACATTCTCCTAGCAAGTAGCTGAGTCTCAGACATACACAGCAGCCAAGCTTTAGCCAATCACAGACTGCCAACTGATCAGACCATGCCCAAAGAAGGCAAATGCTCACCTGTCAATCAAGCTGTTTCTGCATGTCATTTCATTTTTCTGTCTATAAATACTATGTGCTCACTTTGCTGCACTGAGCTCTCAGACCTCTCTGGGTTCTGAGTGATGCTTAATTCATGAATCATTCTTTGCTCAGGTAAACTCTATTAAATTTAATTTATCAGAAGTTTTTCTTTTAACATACGCATTACAAAAGTGTTGCTTGGTTGAATCTTTGCTCAGCTAGCTAAGAAATTCCTAGCTAGTTGTATTGTCAAAGAAGAATGTTCACCTTACTCAGGATTCCAGAATCCTAAATCATTAAGGCATTTGTTACTAAAAAGACTAAACTGGTGAAAATAGCAATTCAGTACCTTATTGTTTATCAATTAGCAAAGGTGTCATATGTCAGTCACACACACACAAAGAGAGAGAAAGAGGGAGATAAATTGAGAAAAATATTTGTGCCACTGTACAATAAAAGTGAAGAACTTTCAAATTTCCCCAACTAACATTTGAATTGTGTATCATTGTCCAGCATTCTACAGAGAGAGAGAACCAACAGAATAGATAAGATATATAAGAGGGAATTTATTAGGGGAATTAGCTCATGCAATTATGGAGGCTGAGAAGTCCCACAATAGACCGTATGCAAGCTTCAGACCCTGGGATGCCAGTAGCATGGCTCTGTCCAAGTCCAAAAGCCTCAGAACCAGGGAAGTCAATGGTGTAATTCTCAGTCCAAGGCCAAAGGCCTGAAAACCCTGGGGACCACTGGTGTTAAGTCCTGGAGTCTAAAGGCTAGAAAGCCTGGATTTCTGATGTCCAAGGGAAGGAAAAGAAGAGTGTCTCAACCCCAAGAGAAAGAAAATCACCTTTTCTCTGCCTTTTTCTATTCAGGCCCCTGGCTAATTGGATGGGATCTTTTCACATTGAAGGTGAATCTTCCCCACTAAGTCCCCTGACTCCCATGCCAATCTCCTTTGGAAACACCCTCACAGACACACCCAGAAGTCATGCTGCTTTACCCGTTCCCTGGGTTTTCTTTCAGCCAGTCAAGTTGACACCTAAAATTAACCATCACGGTCACTTTGTGAGATATGCTGTTGAAAGCAATAATAAAATGTGTAGATACCACAAAGGTAACTGTTCTGCGTATGTCTTTGCAGAAAGCATATTTTTCTCCAGAGGTTTTTGCAAATAAAAATTTTCACTTTGCCAGCAAAGTAACAGCTTCAATCAATTTCTCTTTTAGCTTATGTAGGAGATACTGATTAAAATAAAGATGATAAAATAAAGATGATTCACAGATGGAACATGAAGCATGCTGCTCCCTTGGATATTAAAGGACAAACAAACAAGGTCTCTTCAGACTTCAATTTTCTGTCAGAATGATCAGAGAACAGTAACTGAATGGCATCCATTAGGGAGAATTCAAGGCCAATACGGCAATAGGTTTTGGTAACTGCCTGAAAGTATCTCATGGGAGCTATAAGACTCTGACAAAACAAGGCTCTCTTCCTGTCATGTCAGGCGTCTAAATGATGCCCTTTATTTAGGACTGACATTTGGGTGATTAACTGTATTTTGCACTTTTGTACTTGTTCTTTTGTCATATTCTCATTCTTAGTCAAAGAGTGGTACTACCTTGCCTCTTTGATGTGATGTGCAGCAATTTGAACATCTGTTTCAGACTTTCTTGACTACACCTGATTCGGGTTGATCCAATATTCTAGAAATTTTATCCAATTTCTGACTTTCAGTGTTGATCAATTGCCAAGTCTTATTGCCACTACATTCTAAAACTTTTCAAATCCGTCTCTCTGTCTTTCTACCTCTCATTCCCATGGAATGATTTTAGTCAATAATCACATGTGACCTGAATTGCCTCAGGGTGCTTCCCCTGTACAATATTTCCACATTACAGAGAGTTGTCACTCAGAATTTCCACTTTGGTTGCGTGACCCCAATACTTGAAAAGCTTCGATGACTTTGCATTATTTTTAACTTATAGACTTAATTCATTCAAATAATGTAAAATTTGTCCATTTATTGGCTCATGCTTGCATCTCCAATTTTATGTTTTATTAATCTCCCTGCTTTACCTGTTGCCCTATTTACTGATATGCAATTCCTCAAACATAACACAACCTCTGTCATCATCCTTCATTTACCTATGGCAGTACCTCTAATTTCAATTTCTTTCTGCTGGGATAACTCTCTTCACTTCAGTTTTATTTTTATATATTATTTTCTTAGGGATGTTGTTGCTTATTTCCCTAATGCTAGATGGGGTGGCTCTGATCTGGCTACCCAAGCCTGTGTTTATCCCTATAGTGGCACTTATCAAATTGTGTTGTAATTACTTGCTTTCTTGCCTCATCTTCTATACAACAAGTGTCACAACAGGAACCTACTATTGTTACCTGTTGCATACTAAATCCTTGAATAGTTAGTGGATACATAATATTTATTGAATAAGTAGGTGAATAAAGTTAATATGCTATCACAAACATCTGCATTGAGATGATATTTTCCAATAAGTGATTTTTTTCTATTATTTGACATTTGTAAGTGTAAAAGAGTTTAGATACAATCTTGAGAAGATTGGGGAATAAGGGACCTCTCATTAACTAGAATAGTCAGAAAAAGAGCTTTTGCAATCCTAAAATAAGCTGCAATCTTGAAAATGTACTAAACCGTAGAGAAAATTTAAGTTTCTGGCACACACAAAGGAAAGGCAAAAGTGAATGACAATAAATGTACAACCTGATCTATTTGGTTCATTTCTGACAGAATTCAGAAATGAGTACTGATGAAACCTCAGATTATTTCATAAGGCAACTCTGTAAATATGTGAAATCAATTCATATATGATGTATGTGAGACATGTTAATTGTCAAGTGCTTGAATAATGTAAAAATGCTTTTTTTTTTTTAAACCACCATCCCTAGATAGTGAGAATCTCCTTTTACTAAGAAGTTGTGAGAGAATGGGAAACTGGTCAGATATGTTTTTAGGGCCTCTCCAGGAAGGCAGTTATGGAATCCTTTTGTAAACTATATACCTGGAATCAACTATTTAACTATTTCAGGTGAAATTATAGCAGTCACTCCTGAAATCTATTCCTATACATTTAGATCAACCTGTCTAGGGATTACCAGGTTTTCACTGAAGGAAAAGGAAATGTGATAAGAGAAAGATGAATCATTCCTATGATTTAAGTAGTTGCGTAAATATTACAAACTTGTGACACAGTGGAAATAAAGCTGAGCTTGAATAGGGGAGACTTATATTGGAGAGGCACAATTTCTTCTACAGGATTTGCTATTTAGCTATTGCTCTTTAGAATTACAAAAACATAAATAAAATGGTGGATATGAACATTTTGATCACTAAATTAAAAAAAGAAGCAAATTAGCAGAATGGGCAGCAGGATAGAGAATGCTTAAGGGCAACTTAGTAGTGAGCCAATGAGGTCCAAAAAGCCAGTTCTCTGTTTGAAATTCCAGAAGATAACAGAAAGCATGTGGGGTGGGAAATTACCTCCAAAATAATGATGAAAACTTTCTCCAATAGCAATTAGACATGATTGTTCAGAACTGAACCACGTGACCTATATTAAGCCTCTACCCGTCATCAGGTACCAAGGTTTGTTCTAGATCACAGATTTAAAACACAACAAAACAAAACAAAACAAAAAGTAACATCCCTGTCATTTTGGAATTTAACATAGTGGAAAAGGAGTCTAAAATAAAAATTCATAAGCATGCAATAAATTAGGTAATAATAACTATGAAGAAAACATGGTACAGTAAGATTAATAATGAAAATGGGAACTGTGAACTTGATAGTCCAAGGGGAAAGGTTTCAGGTAAACATGTGCAAAGCTCTAAAAGGAGGTTACTAGCAATGAGGTTGCTCCAACTCTGTTGGAGCTGAGTGACAGGGAGTATGACTGAAAATGGGGTTGGATTTGTAGCAGGTGGACATTCATAAGGGGTATTGTAGGCTGTGAAGATTATTTCAGGTGTTATGGAAGCCATTGCAGGGTTTCAAGTAGGAGAGAACATTGAAACAATAGATGTGCATCTGGGAGTCAGCAATGTAGAAAACAGTAACATTAATAAATTAACTAATTAAAATATTTTATTACCACTAAATTTTTCCTTTTCTTTGGATCCATGTAACTTACATTATTTTGAAATATTTTTCCTAATGTCCAAAAATACTTTATCATAGAACATGTTCTATATAAGGTAATTTTATTTTATTTTAAAATATGGTATCTATGCTTGAAAATGTAAATTCTATAGTTATTGAGTATAGGGTTCTGTAACATGGGAATTATGTCCTGTTAATTATTTATTGGAATTCTATTAAAATGAAATTTTTTCTGTTTCTTCTAGTAATTCCTGAAAAAAGTTAACTTTTGCCATGAGTGTACAAAATTTGTCAGTATTTATTTTTGGGGGTGGTATTGTTAGAGTTATTGAAAGATTTATCTTTTGAAATTACACTTTTAAACTTTTTATGATCTATGTTTTTAAATGCACATAAGTAATTGTATTTATACTACCTTTCATTACTTTTAATTTTCTAAATTCTCATGATGTATGTAAGATTTTTGTATACATATGTAGTGTGAATATTTTTAATACAATATGACAATTTTTATTCTATTACTAGAACATTTAGACCACTCATATTTAGGAAAACAACACATTCCTTTTTAAATCTATAAATTTAATTTGTGATGTTTTGTGTGCTATCTGTAATTTTAATATTGGCTATCATTGCCTTGTTTTATAATTACAGAATTTTTGAACTATTCTCTTTATGACCTTTATATTCTTCAGAAGGTATGCACATCCTTTCAGTTTCTTTTTCTTATATTGATTTCCTTTTAACTTTCAAAATTCATCTTTGAATTCCTAAGTCTAATGCTACTTGTCTCTTTTACTTTTCTCATGGGTGGTGATATAAAGTTAGAAAAGTTTATTACCCTTTATGTCCTTTTGATTTATGCATCATTGTTTTTACAGGCTGTATATTAATTATAAAATTATAGATTTTAATTACTACTGATTAAAATGAATTCATATTATAACTTATTTAGAACATTGTTACATCTAAATGTTATATAGATATTATGTAAAATAATAAATAAATAAATATAAAAAATAAACATTATGCCCAATATTATTGTTTTATACAATCAATTAGTGGAATCACCCACATATTTAATATGTGCTCTTAATCCTCTTAATCCTTACTGCGTATGTAAAGATCATTTTGTTTCCCCTATTTCCTTGAAAAATATTTTTGCTAGTTAGAAACTTCTAGGTTGGCAGTTATATTATTTTGACACATTGGCTATGTCATTTCACCATTATCTTTCTTCCTATATTTGTGTTGAAAACCTAGCTGTACATGTAATAGAGAATCTTTGTAATTATTTATTTTTTTAAGATTTTTCTCTTGCCTGTCCAATTCTGAAGTTTCACTTTAACATGTCAGCTTTTGATATTTTTAAGAAATTTTAGATTAAAATTGAAATTAAATTCTGGGCAGTAGCTTCCGGCATAATTTCTAGTTTACTAGTCCACTTTTCATCTTCTTATAAAACCATCCACTGAGAAAATGTAACATTCTGGTTTTTAGCTTGAGAATTTCAATGTTTAAAATTTTATTTATTATTTAATTGGCATATAACAATTGTACATATATATGAAGCACACTGTGAAGTTTTGATACATACAACATTATAGTGATCAGATCAGGGTAATTAGTATATCCATTATCTCAAACGTTTAAGATTTCTTTGTGTTTGGAACATTCAACATCCTATCTTCTAGCTTTTTGAAAATATATAACATATTATTTTTGACTATATTCATCCTACACTGCTATAGAACACTAGAATTTATTTTACCTTCCTAGCTTCCATGTTTTATTCCTTAATAAATCTCTCCCTATGCTCCCTTCCCCTGACCCTTCCCAACCTCTGGTAACCTCTGTCTACTATAATTCTATGAAATCAGATTTTTTAGCTTCCACATATGAATGAGAATATGTTGTGTATGCTGTGTTTAACTTTCTGTTCATGGTTTATTTCACTTAACATAAATTCCTCCAGCCTTATCCATGTTGCTGAAAATAACAGGATTTCATTCTTTTTATGGCTAAATAGTACTCCATTGTGTATATGTACCTCATTTTCTTTATTATTTTATTTGTTGTTGGACACTTGGGTTAACTTAGTATTGAAGCAATTGTGCATACTGCTGACAGATACCAAAACCAGACAAGGACACAACGACCATAAATAGAGCTGCAGAATAATATCCCTGATGAACATAGATTCTAACATTCTTAATAAAATACTGGCTAACAAAATCCAACAGCACATCAAAAAGACCATACACCATGATCAAGTGGAATTTCTCTCAAGTATGCAAGACATTTCAACATATTCAAATCAAAACATGATACATCACATCAACAGAATAAAGAACAAAAAGCATGATAATCTCAAAAGATACAGAAATGGTATTTGATAATATTCAACACTTCTTCATGATAAAGACTCTCAATAAATTAGGTATAAAAGGAAAGTAGCTCAACACAATAAAAGTTATATATGACAAATCCACAGCTAACATCATATTACATGGGGAAAAGCTTTGGTTTTCCTCTGGGAACTGGAATATAAGGAAGCCCACTCTTACCACTTCTGTTCAACGTAGCATTGAAGTCGTGGTCAGAGTATTTAGGCAAGAAAAAGAAATAAGGGCATCCAAACTGAATAACAGACAAATCGTCCTTGTTTTCAGATCATGTTGCCTTATATATAGAAAAACCTAAAGACACTGCTAAGAAATCTCTTAGAACTGATAAACGAATTCACTAAAGTTGCTGGATAGAAAATCAACATAAAACATTCAGTAGCATTTCTATACAAGAACAATGAACTAGCTGAAAAAGAACTCAAGAAAGGAATCCCATTTACAATTGCTGCGAAAAATAAAAATACCTAGGAATAAATTTAACCAGTGGGGTGACAGTGTGTTCTACAAGGAAAACTATAAAACGCTGATGAAAGAAATTGAGTAAGACACATAGAAAATGGAACACAATCCCAAGTTTATGGACTGGAAATATTAATATTGTTAAAATGACCATACTACCCAAAACGATCTACAGACTCAACACAATCCCTCTTAAAATACAAATACCATTTTTCACATAAATAGAAGAACAATTCTAAAATTCATATGGAACCACAAAAGATGCTGAATAGCCAAAGGTATCCTGAGCAAAAAGAACAAAACTAGAAGCATTATATTACCTGACTTCTAATTATACTACAGAGCTATAGTAGCCAAAACAGCATGGTACTGGCCTTAAAACAGACCCATAGACAAATGGAACAGAATAGATAACCCATAAATTATTTTATGCATCTACAGCCAACTGATTTTTAACAAAGGCATCAAGAACATCTATTGGGGAAAAGAACAGTCTCTTCAATTAATGGTGCCAAGAAAACTGGATATCCGTATGAAGAACAAAACTAGGCTCCCATCTCTCACTCTATACAAAACCCAAAGTTAAGAGTTAAATCCAGAAACAATTTATTTAAATATCTGTAATCCTAAGTTTTTATTTAAATATTTGATTCTTTTTTCTGCTAGTTCTGCTCATATCATATTTTGCCTATGTTTTTGTTATGTGTACTTTCTTCTAGAAGTTGTACTTGAAATAATATTTATAGAAATAATTGGGAAACCAATATGTTGTCTTCCTCCAAAGAATCTTTCTATGTGTGTTTTTATTCTTGGGCAAGACAGTTCAGGTATAGGAGACAGGATCCAAAATCTGCCCTGGCTTAAAACTCCTATGCTACTCAGGAACAAATATTAATAATAATGTCATATACATATGCAGGACACCTGTAAGTCATGTCAGTTTCAAGAGTCACTGGATTTAGGGAAACCCAAGATTCAGAGTTCCTCTTACAATCCAGAAACAATTTATAAATAATGGACCATTTTTTATATAAATAATCTTGCTTGATAATATAATTGACATTTTATGTATCTCAGGTGTTTTGGGGAACAATGCAAGAAAGTTGACCAAATGTTGAATACTCTTTCATCAGAAGCAAAATTTTGTTACTTCCTCCAGGGCTACTAGCTCACCTTGTTTAGATCTTAAAAGCCCATAAGCAGTAGAAGTGTATCTTATCCAGAGCTTTCAGAATTCCATTTGCTCATTTTATTCAAACATATTTTTGAGCACCTGCTATTTGCCAGGACCTGTTCTAGGTTAGCGGAATAGTCAAGGATTAAAATGTCAGATTCTTTAGGAACAAAAAATAGAAGAATGTTGAGAGATAAATAAGGTGAGATGTCTAGAATAGATAATTTGTACTTGCTAATTAAACACAAAGGTCTTATGTCGATTTTCAGCAGAAAGATGTAAAACTGGAGTTTATGGAAATTAATAAAAGAAGGAAATAGTATGTCCTATGAGCAGAAAAGAGAATGATCTCGCTGATTACGAGGTGCTAATGGGGGATTTCTTATATTTTGATCCCTACTGTAAGAATTAGGGCAGGTCAATCCTGACTGAAGAGCTGCAAACCGGATGACAGACACACAAGCACCATTCATACAAGGCTAGATGTAAGCAATCTTCCTCAGCTAACAACTTATACATAAATGGACTTGAATAGTAAATTCATTACACTCCAGGCAAAAAATACAATTTCTCCCTCAAAGAAGTACAATTCAAGATTCTAAAGTTCCAAATTATTTGATTAAGGAAAATAATAAATACATATATATATACATATATATGAAAAATTGCTCCTAAGTAATAATGGACTCTCAAAGAAAATTAAAGTAAAACATAATTTTCATTTTCTGCAAAATCCACTGTCATTAAATATGTAGAAGGAATCTATAAGCATGTGATTTCTTTCTAAGGAAGTCAATGGAATTCTGCAAAGGAAATGCTTACATATCAATAAGACTACATATTGTATATTTTTGCAGTTTTCACAGATTTCTATAAAAGGAACAAGCACTGCTGAACTATTAGAAAAACTAAGAAAGTTGGTATAATTGAGACAGGAGGTCTTTATATTCTAAAGATACAGAGCAAATCAATGTTATACACAGAAACTGACTTCTGTTGTAGTTACAACTTGAATGACAGTTCAGAACATGAAATGGGTGTTAAAAGATTTGACCTTCATTCTATAGGCCACGGACAACCACAAGATGTTTCAAGCTATTGAATAAACAAACGCATTTTTGAAAGATCACTCTGTCAGCAGTGTGAAAGAAGAGGAGGGGACAAGACTAAAGAATAGGACACCAATTCTGTATGTTTAGCAATCCGTTGGGAAATGTGGAGTGAGGTTTTGAGCTAAGATGCAAACTATCTAGACAAAATTGCTTGTGAGGTAATAAGATGATTTTTTATAAAGGAAAATCAATTAGAGTTTCATGCAGGACTCAGTCATCCATTGGATCTGGCAAGGGAGTAAGTTTGGCACCCAAAAGTGGAAAATAAAAAGATGATTTTTGGATTGCTTCAATAGTGAGATTTGGCAGTGTAGGTGCAGAATAAGTGCAATGGGACTAGAATGAAGTGACTGAAATGGAATAGCTGAAGAACAGTACCATTAGGGATTTAACAAAATTGTTAAAAATGAAAATAAAACCCAAGAGTGGTAGGAGATTTGGGCTCAAGGAAAGGTCATATAACTGAAGGTCTCCAAGATGTTGAAAAAAAAGATGTTCACTAAATAAGAGAATGAAATATTTAGAAAGATGGAAAAAAAGATGACAAACTCAAGTGTTAACAGTGGCCTCCTAATAATATAAAACAAGTATTTACTTATATTGTTAGTAATAATGTTCTTTACATCCACAAAGAACAATGTAGGCTCACTACCATTCTTTAAAAATGCACTCAATCTTTTCATTTATATTTTAGTAAGCTGTATTTGAAAAAAATATATATATACACATACATATATATGTATATATGTTGCACTATATGTATGATATATAGTGTGAATACACACACGTGCACACACACACACTATAGGAAAAGTAGAAATGCAAGTATACTGATGGACACTTTATTCTGACCCCTGTGAGGAAACGACAAGTAGAAGTGGAGGGACGATGGTGGGCTGCACAGGGGGTGCCATAACTAAAGGATGCAACATGTACTTAGATTCAGTCCATTGCTGCCATTGAAACATCATATAGTGCAGAGACTCAGAGTATGGACTCTGCATCCAGCAACTTAGCTCTGTCACTTATCAGGACCATAACCTCAGGCAAATCACTGAACTCCTCTGTCTCAGTTTCTTTGTCTTTAAAAAGAAAATTACAATAATATTTCTTCCCTCATAGCGTATGACTACTAAACTTCTTAATTCATTGCAAGCTCTTTGAAATGAACCTGGTACATAGTGGATACTTATTAAAGGTTAGCCATCATTACTGGTAAGGCAAATACAGTGTTTCTGTTGTGATTTTCCATTGAAATCCAATAAAATATCAATTTTTGTTAGTGTTTATTCATTTTTTTATTCTTATATATCAGATTCCCCCTTTAGCTATCTTCTGGCCATCAGTTTGAGACTCTGAGGCAGAGATTGTTATAATAGGATAAATAGCTTTGTTGGTAAATGGTACCTTCTTGTGAGCCAACTCTGAAATGCTTGTAGGGGTTGCTTGAATTACTGTAGTGGGAAAGATAGCATACTAACTCAGAAGATGCAAAAAAGTGTTTGAAAACCATCATATAAAATTTTAAAAGTTATTGAAGATCAGTTAATGGTAGGTATGTCTGGATTTATTTCTGGGTTCTCTATTATGTTCCATTGATCTATAGGTCTACTTTTATAACACTACTATGCTGTTTTGGTTACTATAGACTTGTGGTATAATATACACTGGGGAAATCACACCCTATTCAATAAATGGTGCTGGAAAAATTGGATAGTCATATGCAGAAGAATGAAACTGGACGCATATCTCTCACCATATAAAAAATTAACTCAATATCAATGAAAGACTTAAATATAAGACCCAGAAGTATAAAACTCTAGAATAAAACCTATGAAAAACTCTTCCAGACATTGGCCTCAGCAAATAATTTATGAGAAAGTTCTCAAAAGCAAATGCAACAAAAACAAATAAAAACAAATGGAACTTAAACTGAAAAGCTTTCGCAGAGTAAAATAAATAATCAACAAAATAAACAGATAACCTACAAAATTGGAGAAAATATTTGCAAATTATGCATCTGATAAATGGCCAATATATACAATCTACAAGAAACTGAAACAACTCAACAAAGAAAAAAAAACAAATAATCCCATTAAAAAGTGGGCAAAGAACATAAAAAGATATTACACGAAAGAAGACATGCAATCAGCCAACAAAAATGAAAGTATGCTTAAATCACTAATCATCAGAAAAATTAAAAATTAAAACCACAGTACTATCTTACACGAGAAGGAATTGCTATTACTAAAAAGTCAAAAATCAACAGATGTTGGTGAAGATGTGGAGAAAAGGCAATTCTTATACACTGTTGGTGGTAATGTGAATTAGTGCAATCTTTATAAGAAACAGTACGGAGATTTCTCAAAAAACTAATAATAGAAGTACTATTCAATCTAGCAATCCCACTACTGAGTACCTACCCCATTGAAAATAAATCACTATATCAAAATGACATCTGCACCTGTATGCTTATCACAGCACTATTCAAAAAAGGTAAGACATGAAATCCCCTAAGTGTTCATCAACAGAAACAGAGGGTTGGATAAATAAAATGTGACATATATATGTGTTGTATCCATATATAAAGTATATATATACACACACACATATATGTGTGTATATATACATATCACATTGTATGTATATATGTATGTATATATACATATCACATTGTATGTATATATGTATATGTATACATGATACATACATATATACCACATTTTATTTATCCAATCCTCTGTTGATGATTGGATAAATAAAAAGTAGTATCCCATGGTGTGTGTGTGTGTGTGTGTGTGTATATGCATGTGCATATATGTGTGTGTATGCTACTCAACCATAAAAAAGAACAAAATTATGTATTTTGCAGCAACATGGATGGAACTGGAGGCCATTATCCTCATTGAAATAACTCTGAAACAGAAGTTGAATATTACATGTTCTCACTTATAAGTTGGACTTAATCAATGCGTACACATGGACATACAAGTAAACTAATAGATACTGTAGGCTCGAAAAGGGTGGGGGAGGTGAGTAGGATGAGGGAAGAAAATTTATCTGTTGGGTACATTGTAAATTATTTGGGTAATAGGTACCCTAAAAATGCAGACTTCACCACTATGCAATATATGCTTGTAACAAAACTGCACTTATATTTACTAAATCTATAAAATTAAAAATAAATAAATGTTAGAATTTGAAGTTTTGTAGTTACAATAAAGTTCAGATTTTAGCAATTGGAGTCATCTGATGAAGTTACCTATGAGTAATATTTCAATGAATTTTGGGACCAAATTTTATTCATCTTCTATCTGGAAGTAGAAGTTACACATGATACTGAGTTATCTTTTGTTATCAGCATTTTTGCCTGTATATGCATGTATGAGTCCAAATGTGTGGGGGGATGATGTTTGTGTTATAGGGTAAATTGTAAAAGACTGTTAAAAAGTAAATAAATTTGACTTCCAGAATGATGCATATTTAATAGCAATATTACACATATAACATAGAAACACATGTACTGTAAAAACAGTAACTTCTGGTTAGTAAACTGATTGGCGAATGTGGTGGAATTGGGGAGGAAGGAAAGTCTTCAGTTTGTTTTTCCCTTACTGCTGTATGCACTGGTCAACTACGATGACCAACAGTGATCATGTTTCCAATGATCTTCAGAAAGGTTTCTCCCATCCAGGCTGTAAATTATTTGAAAAACATATTACAAATATACTGGAACATGTAATCAGGAGGAAATTACTTAAGATTTACAGTCATCTGATACATAAGTTGACTTTAAGGAGATTAATGATTATTTATCTTTATTTGAGATAGTTTATATTTTCTCTGGATATTTGTCCCATTTTTTAATAAATTCAAGTCACTACCAATATGGTACTCTAATATTGCAATTACAACTGTCCAGAATCTAAAATAATATATAAAATTATTTTAATCCACTCAAATCAATATGATTTCTTCATTAAATATTTAAGTGTGTTCAGCTAATATGTCTTTAAAAGTATACATTTTTGTAACACATTTTTCAACCATCGTTGAAGCATTATAGGGATTTTGAAGTTTAGTGTGCTGTATACCACTAACTGGCCATATTTATTGAAGTGCCAAGTAATATAATACCTTTTCTTTAACTTAAATATCAAATTACTACTGGAGACCCGCTATGTCAAAGCAATAATATAAGCATTGCTATTTTAATTTGATTTTCTTTTACTTTAAACTTTAATGCAGAAAATAGGAATTTGTTAACTTACATTGGAAAAAATATTTTGTGGTATTCATTTTTTTCTAAATTAAATGCAAATTAAATTATCCAAAATTCTTTCTATTTTTTCTTCTGTAGATTAAATTCATTCTCTTAACCCTGCTTTGCAACAAAACTTGTCTTTTTAGAAATTATGATTGCTTATTAAATTGAAGTCACCTACCTGTACAATAGCAACACAAACATAGCACAAATATTCAAACCTAAAAATAATATTTCTATCATAAGAACATCTGATACATACTGAATTTTTTTTCATGATTTGAATAGTGTGTAGATTTCTATTGTACCCTTTTTATGTATGTTTCAAAATGTTAGAATGAAAATTTATTTCTATTTTGAGGGAACTTAGCCTTACATGAGGAAGCAAGAAAGTACATATTTACGGCGAAGGTAAAGTTTTCCACAAAACAAATGTTTTCCATGCAGCTAGGAATCAAGTGGGAGCTGCGTTACCAAGCATGAGTTACGTAGTTGTTAGGTGATGATTAATAGACAGTAGTTGGTGCCAGACTCCAACTGCTACATCTTGAAGACCAGCTATGGTAAAAAGATGGAATGGGTTTTGTCTGGAGGAAGTATGGCAAAATAGACATAGTTTTTATTTAAAAGAAACTCATTCATGAGTACCAATGAGACACTTTCATGGGCCAACAGAAATGCTGAAAAGTATTTCGTTAAGAAGGGAGGATGCAGTATGAAATATTAAGTATATTTTAATATTAGGTTAATATGGCCTCATTTGAGCCTGGAGAATATCAGTTATGAATGGCATAATCTTTTTTTCTTTAAGTTTGTCATCTTACTTCAGGTAATGCTATCAATGTTTCCTACTAAATTCAGAATGCATTTTGGGCATTTTTTCCCATTTAATTAAGTGTTCTTCTGAAACATTGTGTAAGGATTGTATTATGCTCTATTGAATACTCAAAACGAACTTCAAGTATTCTTGACAGTAAAGTCAGAAATTAGATTGTTCTGCGTCTTAATATACCATAAGCCAACATCATGAAAAAATCCTTCAGAATGTATTTGTAGAAGTGTAATTACTGTTCCAAATGTTAGTATGTATCTAATGCCTTTTGATTCATGTTAATTTGTTTCTTTCTATATATATATTGGACAATTTATACTCCCACACATAGTAAATCAAAATGACTTTGCTACCATTCTACCACTGATAATGGAGTATTTTGTTTATATGTGTGTGAGTGTGGGTGTGTGTGTATTGTTAATGTATTAAATTTTAAAAATTATCTCATTTGTTTTTATTTGTGAATAAAATTGATGTGAATTTTTTATATTGCTGGTCTTTGGTATTTTCTTTTGCACACTTATAGATCCAACTTTTGTTCATTTTGATTGGGTTGTTGAAAATGTGTTTATTAAAACTATTAATTGTTTGCATGACATGTGTTTGGTATTTTTTCTTCCTCTTTGCCCTTTAATTTTAAATCTATATAGAAACTTGCTACTTTATATAATTAAACATACATTTTATTCTTTTATACTTTATGTTTTAAAAAGTAGTTACCTAAGTTATATTGTAAAGCACTTTGTACTTCATTTTAATCTATAATACATCTGAAATTTAATTTTGTGTGTGGTTTAAAATAGGCATTAATTTTATTTATAATTTTTCAGAGCTAACCACTTTCTTAGAGCTACAAGGTGTCTGTAAGTCTGCCTTTCCTATATACCTGGAAAATGGAGAAAAGGATAAGGGTGAATGGTATTAGTTTCTCAAACATTCATTCATTCATTAAAACATCTTTTCACCTGTTCTTGGAGAGCAGAGAATAATTCCAAAGTTTGGTTTATGTGAAAATCAATACAGCTGTCTTGTTATTCTGACACAGCCACTATTGAGGTCAAGGCCAAAATCTTGTGACTATATAGTGAGCACACTCACATAAAAAAGAGAAAATGTGTGGAAATAAGAGAGACATGCATGATTTGCATATATATGTGCATTATATATAACATATATATATGCATATAAAACTACATTTCACATCAATCAGGAAAAGGCCCATTTAGCATTTCTGACATGCCTTTAGCATAGCTGAAATATATGAATTTTATATTAATATTATTATTTTTATTCAAGGTAATCATAAAAGTTATTTTAAAATAATAATTTGCTTGCAGACTGAAATATTATCACTTTAGAAGAATCTCGAATCTAAAGTTATGCATCTGATTTCTCTAATTTTTACTGCTATGTTGATAACAGCTTATTTATAAGAAAAAGCATCATTTTTTGAAACATTAACAGTTGTGTCCTTTGATAGAGAATATCACATTAATATTTGGACATGCTGTGTATTGCATGTAATCTTCAGTTGCCTGATGATTTCCTGGAGGGAACTGGGCCACTAAAATATTTGTTTTAAAATGCATGTACAATGGATTGCAAAACAAATATATATGCATACGTATATAAGCAAATACATGTTCATGTATGCACACAGACACACAAATACAAATATTTCAATAATGTTAATCTGGGCAACATTTTTCTGTCTGAGTAATGTATTGTGACTACTAATCTAATATGTGCACAAAGACATATATACATTTATATTATTTTTATATTGCATATATATGTTAATTAGAGACTTTAGAAAAAATTTGCAATTTGTGACCATTAATCATTAACTGGTTATTTTGAAGACCATGAAGTGAGGTAAAAGTCTAGTTAATTTTTCCATTACCAAATATTTATAATATTGAAACATTTAAATACATTTAAAATGGTGTTAGAAAGGAGAGAGATGGGGATAAGCAAATACACAAAAACAGATTGCACAAAATAAATAAGGACAATACGGGAATTTTCATAGAACACTAAGAAGACGTGACACTAATCCATACATTTATATATGGTAGATTAAATATCTTAGTTTTTGAAACTTCTTAATAATTCACACTTTTTAACTTTTGTGTACATTTGTACATTAAAAGAGTTTTTTAGTATAAAGATAAGAAGCAGGAGACCCGAATGTGGGCTGCCCAGCTATCTGATTTTAGAAATTAATTTCAGAAAGCTAACACCTTGTATTTTTCGATAAGCCCAGATATAAATGAACTACAACAAAAGTAGTAGCTTATTATAGAATGCATATTACGAGACTAAATACTAAGTGAAAATATATTCAAAATATTATGGACTATAGAAAAATGTTGAAATTATGATGATAAAGGAAGGCCTTCTTAGAATACTTAGGCTAATAATTGGTATAGGAAGAACACATAATTTCTGGCCAGATATTTCTAAAAACTAAAGTAATGCAAATAAATGAATATCAGTAATATCATTTTATATTTTAACTAAACTTATTTAAAGAAAAATATTAGCACAATGCTATGCTGTATTACTAATAACAGAATATATAAATACAAAATTAAAATAATTTCAAACTAATGTCTTGTGGCATGCTCCCATACTTAGCGTTACATGATTTTAAAAAGGCCTCTCTACATCATTTGCCCATTGCTAAATTATACTCTGGTATTTTACTTAAGTTACTTTAATAAAATGTATTCATGATGTATTGTAATAGTACTGTAGATGCAGGAAACTGCATGAATTAGCATTATGGTTTTGTCTCTATTCATCACCAATTTCGTCTTTTATAAACTAAAGAAAAATAGGAAAATGAGAGAGAAAGCTCTTAGGCCTGTCAAGATTAATTGCACTGCCAGTGTTGTTAATCTTTCTATATTCAAAAGAGTACAAAAAGAAAGCTCCTAAAACAAAATGCAGATGAAAATGTCATCAAGAATCCCAAAAGTACTCATAGAATTATTGATGAAACCCTAATACCCACTCTTCAGGGACAATTTTTTAACATTTAAACTTCAGAGTTCCCTGAGAGGAGGCTTTTTTGGAAGCAAGCTGTGGACATCTGGAGTCAGTGTTTTGCATTAACAGTGTTTGGTGAAGTGTGGGTGGATGTTAGCATCTCTTTTCTTTAGAAACGTTTTGGAACGCTACTGTACAATACTCTGCAGAACAGGCAGATTCCTGTAATTACATCGCGTAAGCCCTCCCATTGCAGGCAGCAGAGATTTTACACACAGAGCAAGTGAAAGGCTCTATTTTCAGGGACCATTTCTTTAATGAGTAACAAGAGTGGTGAAATAATAGCGTCTTTTATTTATAGAGTTCCTTAGTTCAAAGAACTCAAAGGAAGCAGTAGTCATGATCTCATAAACACGCAAAGCAGCTCTGTGAGAAAACATAGAACCAATAACCACATTCTGCATACAGAGGAACTTGGGCCTAGAAAGTTCTGTGTAAGACCCAATTATCTTTATGGTCTTATGTGATGGGAAGAGTGCTGGGAATACAGCACTGTGAGGCCACCACTGCACAAAGCAGTAATGCTCAACTGCCTCCCAGGCAGCCCTCTGGAGGTTGCTGATTACACAAGGTGGCTGAAGTTGGTTTTTGATTCCATAGCCAATTCCCCAACCCCTACAAACCCATAGAGGTTTTCTTACATAAGACAAAAGTCATAATCATGATAAATTTTCTAAACGTGATTTCCAGAAAGGCTTAAATATCATCTTTCTATTAAGGTGATGTTTCATTTGTTTTATGTATTGCCTAAGATAAGGTAATGTCATGATTTGATTGGGTCTAAAAGAGTGGTAGTATTTTGCTATAGTTATAATAATTTTTAGGTTAATATAAAATCTATGTGCTGGGGAAAAGATTTAGAGAGGTATTTAGTAAAGGTTGTAGGATGTACTTAATTGCAAATGCCAAGTTCATTCATTTTCTCTGTTTTTGACCAAAAAAAAAAAAGTGAAATCCTAAGTTAGTGGTACCCATGAAGTCCTAGAGATAAGAATCAAAGATAAAGAGTATGGATAGGCAATTACATTTTATTAGCCTTAGAAAGGAATTAGATAATGCCTCCAGAATAGATTACCCCATGTCAGATTTTCCTATGTTTTCATATACATTCTCCTGAATTGATTTTCACAAAGTACTAATGATTGGGTCCTGCTCCTTCAACGTCCATGGATGTGCTTCTGGAGAATCCTGAAGCCTATAACTATTTAAGCATTCTAAATGCCTGATTCTCACACCTAAGAGATATGTTCACTGACTTGAAGATCTCTATTTAAATAATATTATTTTTCACTTAGAATGCTTAAGAATAATTTCTATATTTATGATTCAAAATTTAGTTTTCAAAATTTAAGATTTAAAAATGTTTAAGACAAGAGCACTTTAACTTAAAATAAACATATATTAATAGGTATCATTAAGCATGAATGTTTAGATGCCACAGCTAAGTTATGACACTAATTTTAGGGCCCTCTATTCCTAGAAAACTCACAGCATTTCTGAAATTTTCTAAAGCTGTAAAATGAAGATATTTATTAAGGTTATTTCATTAAGCTAGTGGAGTGACCATTTAAATACTAGCACTCAATGCTTCAATAATTTCCAGTTTCCATGGAGAAAGCAGAACAACGATTGGTTCACAACAAGTTTGGGAAGGAAAATATTTAAGTAACTTCTATCAGTGATGTGAATAAAATTCAGATCATCAATTGTATTCTAAGCTAAAAATGGCCTAAACGATGAACTTGTCTAACCCCTTTCTATTTTATTATACTTGCAAACCACTGAACCAGATACCAGAGTGTCATACAGCACAGAGGTCAAATGATTCATTCGTGGCCACATGCTTCCAGATATCAGAATGTGGAATTCGATTCAATCCACTGCGGTACCCATCCAGAACTGTATAATTAATGTGCCATATAAAGTTTAGAAAATTATTTAAATTGTATTGCAAATAAGAATCTTAAGCATTGCCTAAAGTCTAGCTACTTTATTTTTCCTCCTTTTGGGAGATGTCAGAATTATGTCTTTTTGTTTTGTTTTGTTTTTGCTTTTCACTTTCATAAAATAACTTAAGGTCTCTACATCACAAAATCTGTTTATAGGTTACTGTATGTTATTACTGTCAGTAGTCACTTGAATCCTCTAGAAATAAAAATATTGCACAAAGTGGTAGAATGATGACCCTGATTCTCCATTTATTCTCTCAAGCCAAATAATGATAGGTTTGAAAGTCGGAACTGTATGATGCAATGTATCCTTAAATTCAAACTTACTTTTGCTCAAAAAATATTCTTAATATTAAATGAGATGATTTATGTAAATGTCTAACACACAATAAATACTAAAATAGTTAGGTTGCCTTCTCTTTTACTTATGTGTAGGAAAACCTGGCATAGTGAATAACAGCCTGACTTTTGTAGTTTATTTTTAAAATTACAATCCCCATAAAATAACAAATTTTATTACTGAAGTGTGTTTGTGTACAAGACTTTGACTGGAATTTGAATTAATTATGTTTAGTTAGAAGATATGAATGGAGGTATAACCTAGGTTGTTTCATATAAAGTAAAACCTAATATTTATACCCTACGATTTTAAGTGAAGTACACAGTGAAAGTTATGCTACCCAAAGTGATTACATTTTGGGCTGAATTAAATTGAAAAGGCTTAAATATACACACATCCTTAATATAAAATATTTCTAGGAGCTATTGGTCTTAGCATTGAGCAACCACACCAGATCCCTGCAGGAAACAATTTCATGTGTCTGTGTACACAAATTTGAGTGAATACCCTCTTACATTTGTTATCTATTGCTGTATAACAAACTGCCACATGATCACTTAAGGCAACGCACATACACACATTTGTTATCCCATAACTTCTTTCTGTGGTTCAGGAATCTGCACATTGTTAAGCTGGGCCCTCTACTTTGCAATCACTCACAAGGCTGCAATAAAGGTATTGGCCTACGGTCTGTACTTTCATCTGAAGCCTCAAGTGTTGAAGGCTGTACTTTTTAAGCTCACTCAATAGTGGTTGGCAGCATTCACTTCCTCACAGTTCTTTATCATGTGGACCTCTGCAAACTGGCAGAGGGCTTTATCAAAGTCAGCAAGAAAGAGTCTTCTAAAGAGAGGAAGTCAAAATGTTTTGTGATCTTATCAGAGAAGAGGCATTCAATCACCTTTGTTGTATTCTATTGGTTAGTAGTAACTAGATTTAGCCCCACACAAGGGCATGAAAACCAGGTCGTAGGGATCATGGAGAGGCAACTTTGAAACCTGCTTACCAGGCTTCTTTAATGTGATACTTGAAACATTGACTTTATATCCAGAAAGTTAGGTGAGACTTAAGAATTTGTGTTAGGTTTAAGAGATAATGTAGAAAACTGAGGAGTAAATTATTCCACTGTGTTAAGTAAGTAGCTAAGGCATTTGTGACTTTATTCAGATTCGTATGAATTAAAAACTAGCTAAATCAGATAAAGAGTATAAGATAATTGGAATGCTTTAGTGCCTGTTGAAATTTACACATTGAGGACGTTTTTTAAAAAAGGGGAAAATGTATGATTAAAATTTATTTCGGTTCTTTTCTTTCTAATTTCTGTAGAGAAATCCATATATTTAACCATATCTGTCTGTGCATGCTTTGCTATCTTCTCGTATTTATATTCCAGCTTACTTTTCTACCTTTTATATGCCTTAACCAAGAGTTTAATATCACTTTGCCTCAGTTTCCTCATCTTTCGAATTAGATTATAAGGATGTTTAAAACTAGATAATACACAAAATCCATATTTTGTAAATAACAGCTTTTATATTTTTCATATCTCAGATACTTCTTATGTTGGTGGACTAATTTGTTTATGTATATCCAGTCAACAGCAAAGATTTACTAACTATTGATGTGATGCACAGTTGCTTCAATGCTTGTATGTACTGTGGATATTAGAGACAACAACATTAACATTTTTAGCATCATTGTGCTTGCTATTCTGGTGGTAGAAACGGGATGCTGTGGGAGCACAGAAAAGGGCATCTAATAGGCTAGCGTGTTAGCAAAGGTAACTTATCTAAAATGATGAGCAATCCAGTGAATTTTTAAAAAAGTGGTATTTCCAAAAGAGAAAATTGCACATGAAATGGTTTCAAGGTATGTGACGTATAGTGAATGCTTCCAATTTCATGTTGCCTTGGCATTCATTTTAACTGTTGGTTTAGCTTTCTCCTGCCAGAGGCAGGACTCAGTCACCCTTGACACAGTTTGCAGTTCTACATCACATCCAAATGGCGTTAGCTGGTGGCCAGAGATAAGAACTTGGAGACATCTCTCTTGCCTAGCAGACTGGGCTCCTCTCTTTCCTGATGTTTCCTTTAAACGGACGATTCCGGCATCTAACTGTGAACTTAATGTAACCCACACCCTATTTCTGCAGTATATACTGAGAATTGCCACGCTCTCCTCTTTTTTTCTCTGCCTGTGCTCCCTGACCTTTCTGTGGCCTCCCGGAACGCCATGTACCTCTCAAGGTCTGCAAGTACTAAAGCTCTTAATCATTCACATTGTAGTGGTGTCGTGGAAGTCCTGCCACAATCTGATCCCTGATGGGGAGGCTGCTTGATGGGATCTATGGAAGGGGGTTCCTTGCTGGTATGTTTTGTCTGGGCCTCGGCTGGATGCTGTTAACGGTAACTACCAGCTAAGTTGATGGAGAAGCTGAAAAGTTTTATTCAATACAAGAGCTATAATTCATTCAGTAAAAGTAAATTGCTTCTTAAAACTCATAAAGGAGTATATGTGGAGAGCTCATAGCAGGTGAATCCAGAAGGGTAGGAAGAATGAAACTCATGAAGGGCTTTGTGTGCTTATCAAGGAATTACAGATTTCATCCAAAGAAAAGATAGTAAAAATTCATGTTTTCTTTAAGAATAAAAAAAACACATTATCATATTTGATTGATTTAAAATAAAATCTTGAATATTATAGTATGTGTGTTTAAGAATTTTTTAACTATTCTGAATTGAGACTGGCTCTAGTCAGACTGAGGTTTGTATATTTAAAATAGAAGTTTTAGATATATAAGAGGTAGTTATATAGGATGGATAGAGGAAATGAGAAATGCTGGGTATTCCTAACCTTTTGCAATTTTTTGGAATGTATGTTGAGCTAGTTTTTGATCTATAAAAAGTGATAAATTGAAAGAAGATAATTCTAAATATTTTCAATTATTTTTAAATAATCCAAAGCATAACAAAAAAATCATTGAGAGGAAAAAATGAACTCTAGTCTTAGCAGTAAATGATAAACCAATGTGAATCAGAAGAGATTCTAATTTACAGAGAAGCAAGAAATAAGTAAATATAAAAAACAAATTTACTTTTGTAATAAAAGTGGTATAAAAACTCTATAATAAGTATAATGTCTACACAAAATCTATAGGGTACTCAGAAGTATCTAGGAGTTCTGGTAATTAACTTTTCAAAGCAGTATATTTTATAATATGTAAATTAGATTTTAATAAATTTTTTCAAAAATATGTTTAAAAATGAATAAAATTCATACACATTACTCCTCTTTCCCCACATGTTCAAAAGGGGACAAGGATATACTTTCATAAAATGACTAGAAATTAAAAATAAGAGTGGGGAGACTGTCACCTTACCAATCAATATGGGATCTATAGATCTTGGAAAATCAGAGAGATAGCAAGAGAGTAAGAGAGAGATAGAGAACGAAAATATGCAAAATATGGCAACAGTTTCAATGTGAATACATTCTGATGCCATCAGTTTAATTTTTCCATCCTGCTGAATGTTATCATTTAGTTGGATATATTTTTTCCTTTATATTTAACTAATATGCTTTCAATTCTCTTCTATTTTCCAAAGATACTCATTCACAACAACAGAAATTTCTGTAATGACTTACAGACCTTATGATTGCTACTAATGTACATTATATAATTTATATTTAATAATTTAAGAACTTGTGACAATAGAGATAATTCAACTGTTTTGAGAAAAAAATAATTCCAAGCCATAATATAAATAGATATATTCTGTAATTAATACTATTCCTGTTTTACTTCATCGCTAATCAAATAAAGAGCATATGAATTCTAGAATTATCCACTCTTCCTTACTTTCAGCATCAGCCTTCCAGAGCCCAAAGAATGGTTAAAATTTTGAAGAAAAGAGATACTAGGTACTAATGTCAGAGAACTGTGATTTTGCCTTAGGCAACATTCCCTCTTAGGTAAAAACATGAAACATCATAGACATTGGCTTCCCAGACATTTCCATGACAGTGTCACTAATGGTAACGTAGATAAATCCATATTTTTAGGATTCTGAAGAAATAAATTAAAGGGGCTTTTTAAAAATTAATAATAATGCAAACTTTTTATTCTATTAACTCTGTTACTGTAACACAACATACTCAAATGTGAAAACATAACATGACATAGCAAAACCTAACCTATTTTAAATTACTCAATCTTAGACATGAGTAATTTTCTTGCTGTTTATTAGATTGATATTAAATTCTATTATGTTTCTAGATTTTAGACTGTTTGGTTCAATTAAAAAGAATTGATACTCTATCAAGGCCAACAATTGGGAAATTTCTCAGTCTTGCTATCATATTTCAGAGATACAAACTCACCAAATAAGTAGACACAAATGACAAGTATTTCTCCCACTACTTTTTGATCTGTATCAAGAGAATTTCTAAGAAGAGATGCACAGAGTGTTGCTGAAGAGTTGGCATTTGGGCATACTTTCATACTACTTTTGATAGAAATCTCAAAAAGTATATTTTCTTGCTGTAAGGCAAAAAACCTCTCAGTCACAGCTTGGTCTCTCAAGGAAATAGTTCCTAAATTTTTTTTCGAAGAAGAAAATTAACTACTAATGGGATGTATTTAACTACAGATTAAAAAATTTTTCAGCTCAAAAAATGAACAAATTTCTTTCTGTTTTTATAATGTGGTTATATGAAGATGCATTACCAGAAAATACCTTGCATCCTATTGACAGATAAACCTGCCTAACCTGGATTAAAGTATTCTTATTTGTTATCTTCATATTCAATATTGTGAGGTTTACTTGTATTCAGAGATACCATTATCCTAAATACATGCAAGACCAATAAAATGGCTATGTTACTTGATCTCATTAAACTCAAAGGAACAGGTTGAATATAGTCTACTCAGTCAATTGGTTAAGCCTACTATTGGCCATACTAAAGTGCAGATTTTTTCAACATAGCCAAAATATCTTTATTAATTTGAAATAGATTTTTTTAACTATTAAGTTGTGGAGTACATGCACAGGATATGCAGTTTTGTTACATAGGTAAACGTGTCATGGGAGTTGGTTGTATTAATTATTTCCTCACCCAGGTATTTAGCCTAGTATCCACTAGTTTTTTCCTGACCCTCCTAAAGTCAGAAATACTATTCAATCCAGTAATCCCTTTACTGGGTATATACCTAAAGGAATCAAAGGAATATATATCATTCTGTTCTAAAGACACATGCACATGAATGTTCATTGCAGCACTATTCTCAATAGCAAAGACATAGATTCAACCTAAATGCACATCAATGATACACTGGACAAAGAAAATGTGGTATATCTACAAAATGGAATACTATGCAGCCATTAAAAGGAATGAGATCATGTCTTTTTCAGGGACATGGATGGAGCTGGAGGCCATTGTCCTTAGCAAACTAACTCAGGAACATAACACCAAATACCGCATGCTCTCACTTATAAATGGGAGTTAAATGATGAGAACACATGAACACATACGGGGGAACAACACACAGGGGCCTATCAGAGGGTGGAGAGTGGGAGGAGGGAGAGGATCAGGAAAAATAACTAATGGATAAAGTGTATATTTTAATGCTGTGATTGTCTTGACAGAGGATGTGCAGTTAAGGACACTGGTGAAATTAGGATAAACTTAGTGTGTGACTTGCCATTTTACTCCTCACTTCTAATATTTTTCAATGGTAATTTTATCAGATTTTGTGATGCTTAATATTGAGTGTCAACTTGATTGTGTCGAACGATGCAAAGTATTGTTCCTGGGTGTGTCTGTGAGGGTGTTGCAAACAGAGATTAACATTTGAGTCAGTGGACTTGGAAAGGCAGACCCACCCTTAATCTGGGTGGGCACAATCTAATCAGCTGCTAGCCTGGCTAGAATAAAAGCAGGCAGAAAAGCATGGAAAGACTAGACCAGTTTAGTCTTCTAGTCTATGTCTTTCTCCTGTGCTGGATGTTTCTTGCCCTCGAACATCAGACTCCAAGTTATTCAGCTTTGGCACTCGGACTGTCTTCCTTTCTCCTCTACTTGCAGATGGCCCATTGTGGGACCTCACCTTGTGATTGCATGAGTCAATACTCCTTTACAAACTCCCCTTTAGGCTGAGTGCAGTGGCTTGTGCTTGTAATCCCAGCACTTTGGGAGGCCAAGGCAAATGGATTACCTGAGGTCAGGAGTTCGAGACCAGCCTTACCAATATGATGCAATCCTATCTCCACTAAAATTACAAAAATTAGCTGGGCATGGTGGCACACACCTGTAGTCCCAGCTATTTGGGATGCTCAGGCAAGAGAATTGCTTGAACATGGGAGGCAGAGGTTGCAGTGAGCCAAGATTACGCCACTTCACTCCAGCTTGGGCTACAGAGCAAAACTCCATCTCAAAAAATAAAAAAATAATAATAAATAAACTCCCCTTTATGTATACATCTATCCTATTAGTTCTACCCCTATAGAGAACTCTGCCTAACACAGATTTCCAAATAGAAAAAAAAAGTATTGAAATGTTCTGTCACTTCAGTTGTGTAAATTTTTAAAAAATTATTTTATATCCACATAAAACATAATACTATCTGACACAGTATGTGGTTTTCACCCTGCCCATTCTTGTTATATATATACATATATACACATATGCAAGATATATATATACAATATATATATGCGAGATATATATATACAATATATATATGCGAGATATATATATGCAATATATATGCGAGATATATATATGCAATATATATATATGTGAGATATATATGTGTGTGTGTGTGTTTGACGGAGTTTTGCTCTCATTGCCTAGGCTAGAGTGCAATGGTGCAATCGTGGCTCACTGCAACCTCTGACTCCCAGGTTCAAGCAATTCTCCTGCCACAGCCTCCCGAGTAGCTGGGATTACAGGCATGTGCCACCACACACGGCTATTTGTTTGTGTTTAGTAGAGACAGGGTTTCACCATTTTGGTCAGGCTTGTCTTGAACTCCTGACCTCAGGTGATCCACCTGCCTCGGCCTCCCAAAGTGCTGGGATTACAGGCTTGAGACATCGCACCCAGCGGGGATGTTTTTTAAGAGGATAAAAGTTCAGATATTTTAACTGAATTTCGGGGTACAATCAGTGTTCCAAGAAGACACATCATTTTTATTCTTTGGCTTTGGACACTCACTGGCAAATCATTGTCTTCCTCCAGTTAAGATGCACAGCCTGAGGTTACATTGAACTTTTTATTTTTGGAAAAGCATGTATTAACAGAGTTCCCATGACAAAGGGATTTATTTTAGTTATACATTAGCAAATATTTAGGGACTAGAAACAACTTAGCAATTATGAATGATACTAATGCAAGTTTTGAAGTGGAAAATACACAGTTATAAAATAGAATTGCCAATTCCAGAATTATTTGTTGGTCAATAATTGCAATAAAAACAGAAATTTGTTTTGGTGTCTGTAGTTATTGAGCTATATTGGGAAGAGTGCCAACAGTGTCATAAATTGCTCTAAACATAACTCTAGAATTGCTGTTAAGTCATTGAGCCGATTGACCTGCCTTTTAATCGGTGAGTGAATTATCTTGTGGGTTTGGAATATCTATCATTACATACATAGGGAGGTTTCAGTAGAGAAGAAATATTATATAATAAAATTTAGTACAAAATGTCAGTCAGCTAAAGGTTACAAAGCCACATTCCTTAAAATATCATAACCCATGACCTTTTTGGTTGTTAGTTTACTGAGTTTTTTTTTCTTTTTAATTTCAGCTTTTATTTTAGATACAGGTGGTATATGTGTAGAGTCACTACATGAGTATATTGGACCCAGGTAGTGAGCACAGTACCTAACAGGTAGTTTTTCAACTCATGATCCCCCTTCCTTCTTCCCCCATCTAGTAAGTAAGTCCACAGTGTCTATTGTTTCTATGTCCATGTCCATGTGTGCTCAATGTTTAGGTCCCACTTATAAGTGAGTACATGTGGTATTTGGTTTTCTGTTCTTGAGTTAATTCACTTAGCCTAATGTCCTGCAGTTCCATCTCAGTTGCTGCAAAGGACATGATTTCATATCTTATGGCTGCATAATATTCCACGGTATATATGCATCACATGCACCACATTTTCTCTATCCAGTCTGCCACTGATGGGCAACTAGGTTGATTCCATGTCTTTCATATTGTGAATAGCATGGCAGTGAACATTCAAGCAAGTGTTCTTTTGATATAATGATCTATATTTCTTAGAGTATATAACCAGTAATGAGATTACTGGGTAGAATGGTAGCTGTGTTTTAAGGTCTTTGAGAAATCTCTAAACTGCTTTCCATAATGGCTGAACTAATTTATTAAAACATTCCTACCAGCATTGTGTAAGTGGTCCCTTTTCTCTGCAGCCTCAGCCGCTGTTTTTTGTCTTTTTAATAATAGCCATTCTACTGGTGTGAGATGATGTATCGTTGTAGTTTTGATATGCATTTATCTGATGATTAGCGATGACAAGCAATTTTTCATATGTTTGATGGCCACACGTACACCTGTTTTTGAGAAGTGTCTGTTCATTTATTTTGCCCACTTTTTAATGGGGTTGTTTTCTGTTTGTTGATTTGTTTAAGTTCCTTGTAGATTCTGGATATGACATCTTTGTCAGACACATAGTTTGTAAATACTTTTTCCCATTCTGTAGGCAGTTTACTCTTTTGCTGGTTTCTTTTGCTTTTGTTTAGTTTAATTAGGTTATATTTTTTAATTTTTGTTTTTGTTGAAATTGCTTTTTGTAACTTGGCCATAAATTATTTGCCAAGGTTGATGTTGAGAATGGTATTTCCTAGGTTTTCTTGTAGAACTTTTATAGTTTGAGGTCTTACATTTAAATTCTTAATCTATCTTGATTTAGTTTTTGTATATGGTGAAAGGTAGGGATCTAGTTTCATTTTTCTGCATAAGGCTAGCCAGTTATTCCAACACCATTTACTGTTTTTTCCCCTTGCTTGTTTTTGTTGGCCTTGTGGAAAACCAGATGGTTATAGGTGTGCAGTTGTATTTCTGCATTTTCTGTTCTGTTCCATTGATCTGTGTGTCTGTTTTTGTACTAGTACCATGTTGTTTTGGCTACTATACCCTTATAATACAGTTTTTTTTTTTTTTTTTTTTTTTTTTTGAGATGGAGTCTCGCTCTGTCGCCCAGGCTGGAGTGCAGTGGCGGGATCTCGGCTCACTGCAAGCTCCGCCTCCCGGGTTCACGCCATTCTCCTGCCTCAGCCTCCCAAGTAGCTGGGACTACAGGCGCCCGCCACTACGCCCGGCTAATTTTTTGTATTTTTAGTAGAGACGGGGTTTCACCGTTTTAGCCGGGATGGTCTCGATCTCCTGACCTCGTGATCCGCCCGCCTCGGCCTCCCAAAGTGCTATAATACAGTTTTGAATTTGGGTAGTGTGATGCCTCTGGCTTTGTTCTTTTTGCTTAAGATTGCTTTGGCTATTCAAGCTCTTTTTCGGTTCCATATGAATTTTAGAATAGCTTTTTTCTAAGTATCTGAAGAATGATATTGGTAGTTTGATAGGAATAGTGTTGAATCTGTAAATTGCATTGGGTAGTATGGCCATTTTAGTGATATTAATAATTTCAATACATGAACATGGATTTTTTTTGTTTATTTGTGTCATCTCTAATTTCTTTCAGCAGTGTTTTGTAGTTTTTCTTGTAGAGATCTTTCACCTCTTTGGTTAGCTGTATTGCTAGATATTTCCTTTTTGTGTGTGTGCCTATTGTAAACGGAATTGTGTTCTTGATTTTACTCTCAGCTTTGATGTTATTGGTGTATAGAAATGCTATGGATTTTTATACATTGATTTTGTATTTTTAAACTTCGCTAAAGTTGTTTGTCAGTTCTAGTAGCCTTTTGTCAAAGTCTTTAGGGTTTTCTAAGTATAGAATCATATCGTCAGTGAAGAGAGATAGTTTGACTTCTTCTTTTCCTATTTGGATGCCTTTTGCTTCTTTCCCTTGCCTGATTGCTCGGGCTGGGATTTACTGGATTACGTTGAACCGGAGTGGTGAGAGTGGGCATTCTTGCCTTGTTCCAGTTCTCAAGCCTAACCCATTGCTTTTCATACTTTCACGTGATTCTGATTTCCTTCAACAGCTATTAGACTTATAACTTTCAGGTTTTTAGAAGTGACTGCCAGATAGAAAGAGGAAAAATGAAAAGCAGTTAAAAAAAATTCCTGGATGAAAGCTGGGTTGATATTTTTTCCATACATTTGGAAATTAGTTTTTTTTTTTTTCTTGGAAATTACAGGCAAAAACATGGGCAAATTTATGGACAAAATCATTTGAAAGCTAATGTTACATATTTTTCCTCTCTAGTGGAAAAAGCTCTTGTTTTAAATTAATCTCATACCTAACTAGATGAATGCATGTTCAAATAAAGTAAAACTACACTTAATGCACATATTGAAAATATCCAATAACTCTTATCATACCTTCTTCCCATTAATTGACCTCTTATCAGATTCAATTTCTAGATTTAACTACCAACTTAGAGAAATTGAGAAGACCAAAGAAAATGTAAATAAAAAAGTCAGTGAGTAAAATTAGTAAAATCTGGACTATAGAAAATGCTACAGGGAAATCAAATAAAGGAAAATAATTGTAAGAAGAAAAAAAAGAGATGGAAATAAAAACTATAGGTTAAAAAACCTAGTAAATGGAAAAAAATTGTAATGCATGGGTCTTACTTTGTTTCTGATTTGTACAAATAAATGCTTAAAGAAAAACACGATCAAAGTCCCATGAAAACCAACTAGGCATTTTTAAATTTTATTTATTTATTTATTTATTTTTATTTTTCTCCAATATCAGAATCTTTATTATTATTATTATTATTATACTTTAAGTTTTAGGGTACACATATACACCATGGAATACTATGCAGCCATAAAAAATGATGAGTTCATGTCCTTTGTAGGGACATGGATGAAGCTGGAAACCATCATTCTCAGCAAACTATCGCAAGGACAAAAAACCAAACACTGCATATTGTCACTTATAGGTGGGAATTGAACAATGAGAACACATGGACACAGGAAGCGGCATTTTTAAATTTTAAAATACTGTTTTTAATGTTGTGTTTATGCTTTTAAGTAGTTATTATGTAGTGGTATATATACAAATATTTATGGATGCAATAATGTGCTGTCTGAAACTTACTTAGGCAAAAATCCGAGTATTCGGGGGGTACACTTAACAGACCATACAAAAGTGAAACTGATACATCAGAGTTCACTATACTAGTTTCTCTACTTTGTTATGTCTGCAACATTTTCCATAACAAAAATTAGAAAAAAAAAATGGAAAAAAAAACTGAGTTTTGGGGGTAGACACTGAATTCAGCCAATTTTCCAGGAATCAAAATTTTTGAGGGTCACAGGTAATTTATTTTTGATAAAAATATAGTGAGTGGAGAAATGACTAATTTTTGAGGCATACTGTAAAAAATTTAGGTAAAGTAACTTTTTCAGTATATATATATATATATATATATATATATAATATATATAATGCAATATTATAATAAAAATATTTGTAGGGCCAGGCGCGGTGGCTCATGCATGTAATTCAAGCACTTTGGGAGGCCGAGGCAGGCGGATCACAAGGTCACAAGTTTGAGATCAGCCTGGCCAACATGGTGAAACCTCGTCTCTACCAAAAATACAAAAATTAGGAGGGCGTAGTGCTGGGTGCCTGGAATCCCAGCTACTCGGGAGGCTGAGGCTGGAGAATTGCTTTACACCAAAAGGCAGAGGTTGCAGTGAGCGGAGATCGCGCCACTGCACTCCAGCCGGACTGTGCTGAAGAGCGAGACTCCGTCTCAAAAAAAAAAAAATTGTATCTTCTATAACAAAAATATATGAAAATCTTTTGGTAGAAGTGGTAGTTAAGGGTTGTGGGAAACTTCTGAAAGGTTCTGTAGAACATAATCTAGCATTTCTGCTTGTTTCTCACTCAGTAGGCGTGTTGCTCCCCAACGGATTAGAAGATTGCACTCTGTCTGACCCCAAACATACTTTCCTCAGTGAACAAACCAACACTTGGCCAATCTTTTACTTTCCAAAAGAAGTTGGCTGTCTTATTGTTTCCAGACATGTGTCTTGTGGGCAGTTTTTATTTACATAAGTCCCTTATGTTCAGTATTGAAAAAGCAATAGTTACAGAACTTTATCATAAAGAGTCTATTTTAAATACATTGTGGGCCAGCAAAAATTGCTATAATCATTGCTGTGATGTCTTAGTTTTATAACTAAATTAGAAAATCCCTTCTGACTCTAGCTGTAATATCTGCAGCATCAGAATCATAGGAATATTGTCTTTTTAAATTTAGTCTCAAGCTTTTGGTGATGCCAGATTTCACTCCCTAAGAAGTGATCAAAGTCCCAGGATCTGACTTATTTTATTACTGAATAAATCACCAAAGATGAGGCTAATTATGAAAGAGATTGCTACTATTTATGGCCAAATATATTTGTGATCTCAGCAGACAGGATATAAAGAAGTTTTAATCAGGGAGTACTAAAAATATGTGACAAATAAATAGACATTTTCTTAATGCATTTTCTCCTGGGGTTTCCTCCGAATGTTTTTAAAGTTGTGTAAAGGAAAATTCATATATTTCCTAAGGGATACAATTCCAAAATTTAGGACTAATCTTATTATTAGTAGTGTGATCATTGCATTTCATATTAAGATAGGTTTAAGTCATTTTGCTTTAATGTCAGCCCATCTATTTCTTTAGTACCATATAAGCATTATGTAATTACAGCGAATTATGCAATTATGTGATATGAGATGGCTTGGTGGTTTTACATCTAAAAATGGAATGATTTAATTTGAATTGATTGTTGTTTATGTACCATTTAACTACATGCATGAGCTGTTCACATCATAAAGAAGAAGTGCTTGTCACAGTGGCAATAAATGAAGGACATTTAGTTTGATATCCAAGGAATAGTATGCCAAATTTTAAATTCTGTCCTTTAGTCTAATATTTGTAAACTGTATCTTGACTCCATGCCTCAGTTTCTCTAATTAAATGAGGACAAAAGGTTAATGATACTGATATGCCATATAAAACATGAATGAGCATATATAGAAGAGATAAATTTTGCTGGTACAGATATAAATTCTAGAAATGCTATTTTTCTGCTACTTTGCTGCATTTGAATATACTCACACGGTTGTCTGAAAGGTCACTAATCACATTCTCATCACCAAATTCAATGATATTTTCATGTTGATTTTCTTAACATCCTCTCTGCCAGAATTTGCAATGTAGGGTTTCACTCTTGGAATTATTTTTCCTACAGATCTGCATTTATTTCTGTTTTTAACTTTCTGTTTGCCTCTTCATTTTATTTCAACTGAAGTGTCTTAAACATGTATGACAAAGCTCCACAGATTCACACATTCAGTGTATTGTATGAAATTCGAAATAATGTTCCTTAAGTCTCTACACAGAGTAAGAGACAGAGTGAAGAACAGATCTTGGTGGAAAATATTGCCTTCACTCTTTCCTTTCTTGCTTTCACTCTTTCCTTTGTTGCTTTCACTCTTTAGGTGTGTGCCTTCCCGAGGTTTATGTTTTTGACTCCACTCTTTGCTTTCTAGGACTTCCGTATAATCTTACAATATTGACTATTACATCCACAAAAATGAGTCCCTAAAGTTCTATCTTTAAACTTGACTTTTCATCAAACTTTTACTTCATTTTCAATCACGTATAAGACATTTCCAGCTGAACATTTTTCTAGTACCCTCAAGTGCAGCACATCCACAATAAAATTCATCATGTACTTCCAAACTCATACCTATTCTGATATTTCAAATGTACTACATATGAGTCAGTCATTCAGACTTGAAAACTTTAAATAGTCCAAATCATTACCTTTTCTTCATCTTCCATAGCAAATAAAATATAAAAACTTGAGTATTCTCTTTTTTGTCATTCATAATTATTTCTGACTTTCAATTCTTGGTGCCACAAATTTGGCTCAGGACTCTCACACTTTATGCATTCAGCTTATTGCAGTAGCTCTCAAGGTTATCTTCTTGTTCTGATACTACTTTTTGATCAACCCATTGTGAAGATAGTTTTTAGAAAATGACTTTGTGAGATGGGCAGATTGCAAAACTTCTCTTGGATTATGTAGGTCACCTGTTCATTCTGATGATAGTTTCTTTTGCTGTGCAAAATTATTTAGTTTAATTAGATCCCATTTGTCAATTTTGGCTTTTGTTGAAATTGCTTTTGGTGTTTCTGTCATAAAGTCTTTGCCTATGCCTATGTCCTGAATGGTATTGCCTAAGTTTTCTTATAGAGTTTTTATGGTTTTGGGTTTTACATATAAGTCTTTAATCTATTTTGAGATAGTTTTTTGTATAAGGTGTAAGCAAGGGGTCCAGTTTGAGTTTTCCGCATAAGGCTAGCCAGTTTTCCCAGCACCATTTACTGAATAGGAGATATTCTCCCCATTGTTCATTTTTGTCAGGCTTGTCGATGATCAGATGGTTATAGATGTGTGGTGTTATTTCTGAGCTCTCCGTTCTGCTCCTTTGGTCTATATGTCTGTTTTAGTACCAGTACCATGCTGTTTAGGTTACTATAGCCTTGTAGTATAGTTTGAAGTCAGGTAGCGTGATGCCTCCAGATTTGTTCTTTTTGCTTAGGATTGTCTTGGCTATATGGGGTCTTCTTTGATCCCATATGAAATTAAAAATAGTTTTTTCTAATTTTGTGGAGAATGTTAATGGTAATTTGATGGAAATAGCACTGAATCTATAAATTACTTTGGGCAGTATGGCCATTTTCATGACATTGATTCTCCCTATCCATGAGGATAGAATGTGTTTCCATATGCTTGTGTCCTTTCTTATTTCCTTGAGCAGTGGTTTGTAGCTCTCCTTGAAAAGGTCTTTCACATCCCTTTTAGCTGTATTCTTAGGTATTTTATTCTCTTTGTAGCAATTGTGAATGGGAGTTCATTCATGATTTGGCTCTCTACTTGTCTATTGTTGGCATAAGGAATGCTTGTGATTTTTGCACATTGATTTTGTTTCCTGAGACTCTGCTGAAGTTGCTTATCAGTTCAAGAAGTTTTGGGGCTGATATCATGGGGTTTTCTAAATATAAAATCATGTCATCTGCAGAGACGACTTCCTCTCTTCTTATTTGAATACGCTTTATTTCATTTTCTTCCCTGACTGCCCTCACCAGAACTTCCAATACTATGTTGAATACAGGTGGTGAGAGAGGGCATCCTTTTCTTGTACCGGTTTTCATTCAATATGATATTGGCTTTGTGTTTGTCTTACATAGCTCTTATTATTTTGAGATATGTTCCATCAATAACTAGTATATTGAGAGTTTTTAACATGAATATATGTTGAATTTTATATCAAAGGCTATTTCTGCATCTATTGAGATAATTGCGTGGTTTTTGTCTTTGGTTTGTTTATGTGATGGATTACATTTATTGATTTGCGTATGTTGAACATGGTGTAATATCCAGAATTTACAGTGAACTTATTCATATTACAAGAAAAAAAAATCAAAAAGCAGGCAAAGGATATGAACAGATACTTCCCAGAAGAAGACATTTACGTGGCCAAGAAGCATGAAAAAAAGATCAACATCACTGATCATCAGAGAAATGCAAATCAAAACCACAATGAGATACGATCTCACACCAGTGAAAATGGCGATTATTAAAAAGTCAGGAAACAATAGATGCTGGCGAGGCTGTGGAGAAATAGGATTGCTTTTACACTGTTGGTGGGAGTGTAAATTAGTTCAACCATTGTGGAAGACAGTGTGGTGATACCTCAAGGATCTAGAACCAGAAATACCATATAACCCAGCAATCCCATTACTGAGTATATACCCAAAGGAATATAAATTTTTCTACTATAAAGACACATGCACTTATATGTTTATTGCAGAACTATTTGCAACAGCAAATACATAGAACAAACCTAGATGCCCCTCAATGATAGACTGGATAAAGAAAATGTGGTACATAAACACCAGGGGATACTATGCAGCCATAAAAAGGAATGAGATCATGTCCTTTGCAGGGATGTGGATGAACCTGGAAACCATCATCCTCAGCAAACTAGCACAGGAACAGAAAACCAAACACCGCATGTTCTTACTTATAAATGGGAGTTGAACATTGAGAACACATGGCCACAGACATGGACACAACACACACCAGGGAATGTTGTGGGGTGGGTGGGGGGAGGAGAGGGAACTTAGAGGACAGGTCAATAGGTGCAGGAAACCACCATGGAACACATATACCTATGTAAAAAACCTGCACATTCTGCACATGTATCCCATTTTTTTTTTGAAGAAATCAAAAATAAAAGGAAAATGACTTTGTATTGCTTTCGTATGTTTAAAAGCTTCAGTAGACATTCCATTGCTTTAATAATAAACTTGTCTCCTACACTCTTAAAATTCTACCCTTGCTTATAGAAAACCTCTCCCTTTAAAATATCATAACCACTCCCAACATAAATCCATTAATCCTAACTAGATAAAAGAAAATGTTTAAGCAAAAAGAGCAAAGGTCTACATATTGTATAAACCATGGATCAAAGTGGTCATATGGTAACTAAGGGATAAATATGAAAATGTATATGAGAAATAATCTATACAAGGCTTTGAATGCAAGTACACATTTCATTAATAATATTTACAGACCAAGAATTTGGACCTGACAAATACTCAGAGCAAGAGAAACCCAACCTCTAAAGGTAATGCCCTTAAACAATAGCTAGAAATTCTAGTTGTGGTAGACACAGCTTGATTGAATAACACTTGTCAAAAATAAATCTAAAATTTTAGTCAAGTAGTTACAGAGAAGTGAGGATATCATGAAACAAGAACATGACCAGGGTAGATTAAAGAAAAAGAAATCACGAGTGAGTCAGGTTGATATGGCTGAATATAGACATGGAAGTGTGCCTGAAAATTAGGACCTAAGCTAGTCAATGAACTAGACAAAATGAAGAGATGAATAGAAACAATAATGTAAACTTACATAAGTTAAAAAATATAATATTTAGGCAGGTGTGCGGTGGCTCACGCCTGTAATCCAAGCACTTTGGAAGACCTGGGCGGATGGATCATGAGGTCAGGAGGTCAAGACCATCCTGGCTAACACGGTGAAACCCTGTCTCTACTAAAAATACAAAAATTAGCCAGGTGTGGTGGCGGGTGCCTGTAGTCCCAGCTACTCGGGAGGCTGAGGCAGGAGAATGGCATGAACCTGGGAGGCAGAGCTTGCAGTGACCTGAGATCATGCCACTGCACTCCAGCCTGGGTGACAGAACAAGACTCCATCTCAACAAAATAAAATAAAATAAAATAAAACAATAATGATAATATTTAAATGAGAGAGAACATATTTAAGTGTGCTTATACTACTGATATTGTGTCATACATTGCTTTTAGCATCAATAAAAGTTTGGTTTTAAATTCAATTTATCCTATTTACTATTCATAGAAGCTTTGTGCCCTGCATGTAAAGTGCTTATCAGAGTACTTGGCACATGCTAAGCAGTCAGTAAGTTGGAGTTATAAACATTATTTTTTCCTATATTTCCTCATAGGAAAATTTTAATTTTAATGTACAATTTTATCTTCCAGCTATATCATTTTGCCCCACAGAAACAGTCATAAAACTATGGGTCAAACATTTTAAATTAAAATTAAGTGAAAGTAATGTTATCTATAATTTTGTTTCTATTTTAAATAAATGATGACATAATATGATTGTCCTTCAACTATGAAAACTTCTTGCATTATGAAAGATAAGTTCCTTCGTTCTACCTCACCCGAAATGATAAATTCTTCAATGTCTGTAAGTGTGTGTGAACTGATTGATTGTGTGAAAAAAGTCACAGGACTTGTCTCTTGGGCCTTATCAAATTCAGTTGTGGTGACTGCCAGTTAGAAGACCATGGATGTGGTCAGCTCATTATAGTTTAATTAGAAATTACTTTATTCTTAACAAAGTTTTTAAATAAATAAAGTATTTTTTCTTTTAAGCTTTATAATGTATTACAAATAGAACATAGGCAAGCAAAGTATAAATGGAAATGAGCCCAGTGTTTAAAGATGTATACTTAAAATAGCTTGATGCTATGTTCTAAAATTTAAAACTGAGCCGTAACTTAAGTTTATGCAGAATCTTCCCTTATTTTCCTTTTTACATAATCATCTATTTTTATCTGATAAGAGAAGATCTGATTTGGAAACAGTATATTTAAAAGATATACTTTTTTATTTTTTTCATATGTTGTAGGTCAATTAAATGACATGTTTACTAATGAAGCTATCACAAGTCTTCTTTCTTGTTTTTCAATATTCCTGAATAAATGAATATCCAAGATATGAAAGAAAAAGTATTTCAATTGTCACAAAGAGTAAAATAACACAAGACTTATTGCCCTTCTTTCCCAATAAAAAGAATTTCCAAACTGACCACCCATAAGCTGATTCTGTTTCACATCCATTATTTTTCATTCATTTCTTCAGTGATTGATTCATTCTTTCATTCATTTAATTTTATCTAAATGTTTTAAACATATCATTACAATGTTTGGTTATTTCTGGCTTATCTTGAAATTTTGTTCAATATGCACATAATTTAAAAATAGCAATGAAATATGTAACTATCAGACAAATAGATACAAAAGAATAAAAATCTAAACCTCTAATTACTCCAACCTCACAAAAAATTTAAGGAGAAAAGAAAATATAATTGAAGAACACAAGTTAAATAGAAAAAGAGAAAGTATAATATGTATTAAAATATTCACTGTGAAACTGTAGAGTTAGTAATTCTGCCAAATTTTACTTTACATACTTTATATAATTTTATTTTATATACTTACATAATACAAATATGGAGAGATAGGTAAATAGATGACAAATACAATCCAGAGAGATATAAATATAATTTATATCATAACAATAAATATATTTTATACTGGCAATCATAATTAAAATAAAAGTGAACTAATATTACTAATTTAAATATCTTGATTTGCAGATGAGATAAATTAAAAATAATGAATATAAGCTCTTTACGACACAACTAAAATATAAGTTATAAGAAACAAATATAAGAAACTTTGAAGGTAAAAGATGGGCAAAATTAATCCAGTAAAATAGAAAAATTCTACCCAAAGAATGCTTATTTATATGGATTTATACCATAACATTCTATCTATCTGGAGTATATTTATCATCTACTTACCATTCTATCCACATTTGTATTATTTGTAATTTTATAAAAATATCCTCTGTATAATAATGAGAGAATACAACAAGAAGATTAAGAATTCTAAACTTGTCTACTATTTACAAAGTAACCCCAAAGTATATAAAGTAAAATTTGGCAGAATCACTACTCTACAGTTTCATGGGGATATTTTAACACACATCTCTTAGTAATTGATAACATCATGAAATGATTATGTAATGATTTAAGCACCATAATAAATTAGCTTTGTTAAAAATCATACAGAGAATTCTATATCTTACAATTAAAAAATTCATTTTCACAAATGGACTTGAAAAATTTAAAAAGTTGACATTTGCCAAGCCAAACTGAGCAAGTTTGAACAAATTTGATATCCAGTATTACGTAGAATATTTTCTTTAAGAAGTTAGGAATAAATAAGCATAAAAACTGAAACACAAGAATATTTAAGAACACCCTTATCAATAACATACCAATTATAAATAAAATTCTCCACCTGGAACACGCAATTTATAAAGATAGGACTAAGATATTCTGCTTAACCAGAAGGTAAGTTATGATAAACTACTGGAATTTTTTAAAAAGCCACAGGATAAAAATTATTACTGGCTAAAGATGAGGGAAATTAAACGTAAAGGTAATAACTAAGATGTATTGAAGTATATTAGCAACACTAAAATCATGTGTTTAGGATGATACTAAAAATCCATTTGGTGACTTTTAGAGGGCACTAACAACAAACTGATACAAAGACTATATCAAGCATATTTACTGTAAGTTTATGATGAAATTTATTTTTTAAATAAATAGCTGAAGAAGAGTACTTTGTAAAACAATTTCAAGTAATAAATACGGAGGAAATAACATAATTAGCAAATTAATCTTTATGCAGTGTATCATTAAAAATGGATTCAACTACAAAATCTTCTGTTGATTCAAAACCAATAGGAAACAGCTTCAGGGAGAACTTCATAACTAATGAGTCAAGCAGATAAAACCTAAACTTACTAATAGAAGTTAATATCTCTATATTTGGAACACATAAACATTATTGCCTTCTGTTGAAGCTACTAAGACATATACAGAATGGCCTATGGAGCATTTTTTGCCTAAAATATAAACTTATCTAAAAGTTAACCCAGTCTCCAGATGCAACAAATAGCTTAGAAAAAAACATGAGCAAAGAATAAGTTGACTGATAACATGAGGAAGCAGTCAAATATGGAACAGAAATTTTAGAGGTAAAGACACTGTTTTCCTCCACAGATAAATAGTGTAAAACTGTGAGGGGACAGTATAGATTGCATAAGCCTTGATTATACCAACCAAATGAAATATGTGAACCATACTGAGATTCTACTTTGGACAAATTAAAAACTTTTGAAAGAATTTAGAAAATTTATACCTGGATTCAGTATTAGACATTAATAAATTACTATTATTTCATTAGATATGAATATAACATCACATGTTTATAAAAACATAACCCATATATTATATAATTATTTATTTAAAAATTATATAGAATTTTTTTAATCAACAAACAGAAAAAAAAAAAAAATGGAGAGAAGATAGAGTAGACCACATTATTTTCAAAGCTAGAGATAGCTACCTGAGAGGGTTCTTGATGTTATACTTTAATATGTAAATAATCTTTTGAAAGAGAGATCAACAATATGTAAAAAAAGACTCAATTTTACTTATAGCATTTACCATTTGAATAATCAACTATATAAACCTAATCAGTTGAGCTGTTGGCTTGAAATTAGGAGTAATATTCATTTTCAAATTTTCTATTTCTTGCCTTTTGGCATATGACTTGGTTTTAAACTGACATGGTAATTATTTTTAGAGATTTGTAAAAGTCTATGTTGTGGATTCCAAGGAGATATGGAAATATGCTTAATAAAGACAATTAACCCTAAAATGTTTCAGGAGGCAATCAAAGCATATCAAGGGAGTATGAAATACACCCATGATGTCCTGGTGATAAAACTTCTGTTAAATTGTTATTGAGCACTGTGATAATGAAAGCAGGAGAAATGTTTTTATAAGGTTGGACAGAAATACAGATGGCATCTCACCAGGTCATTTTGTACTTCTCACTAGTCTATCTAGTCAACCAGTACTTCATGTAGAGCTAACACAAGTAATTAATCATTTTTTATATTTGAATTTATTACCACTTAGAGACAGTGGAGCTAATGATGCAATAATAACAAAACTGATTGCTTTTACTTATAAAATTTTTCAAAACATAAATTTAAAGTCACTTAATACCATTTTTGCTACAAAAATATTTCATGAAGTTGTAACAGCCTGGTAACATGACCAGCCTAGAAGATACCGTAGGTTACCTGAAAGCCTAAAATCTTTTTATCTGAATTTGAATCATGCAGATTAGCTTTTTTCCCCCAAAATGATCAGCTTCGTGCCTATAAACTTATACAATATATGACCATGAAATATTTTAGGACAAATTAGCAAAGTTCCCAAGTAAACAATGATGACTCTTGATATCTTTCCTTTTAAAAGTCTTATAATAATTTCATTTACTTACATGGATGCAAACATACATAGTACCTTAAAAATAATAGTGCTATACTGATCATTTATCATTTTATTCTACTAATCAATATATTATCAATATTGTTCTATATTACTATGTAGCCTATTCTACATAATTTTGATGGCTATTGCATATTTTCCTAGTAAATAGCATTTTCTATATTTGCAATTAAAAATAAATACTGTTATGTCCAACCCATACTTTGTGTAACTCAGCGGTAATATCTTTTTTTTTTTTTTATTATACTTTAAGTTTTAGGGTACATGTGCACATTGTGCAGGTTAGTTACATATGTATACATGTGCCATGCTGGTGCACTGCACCCACTAACTCGTCATCTAGCATTAGGTATATCTCCCAATGCTATCCCTCCCACCTCCCCCCACTCCACAACAGTCCCCAGAGTGTGATATTCCCCTTCCTGTGTCCATGTGAATTCATTGTTCAATTCCCACCTATGAGTGAGAATATGCGGTGTTCGGTTTTTTGTTCTTGTGATAGTTTACTGACAATGATGTTTTCCAATTTCATCCATGTCCCTACAAAGGACATGAACTCATCATTTTTTATGGCTGCATAGTATTCCATGGTCTATATGTGCCACATTTTCTTAATCCAGTCCATCATTGTTGGACATTTGGGTTGGTTCCAAGTCTTTGCTATTGTGAATAATGCCGCAATAAACATACATGTTCATGTGTCTTTATAGCAGCATGATTTATAGTCCTTTGGGTATATCCCCAGTAATGGGATGGCTGGGTCAAATGGTATTTCAAGTTCTAGATCCCTGAGGAATCGCCACACTGACTTCCACAATGGTTGAACTAGTTTACAGTCCCACCAACAGTGTAAAAGTGTTCCTATTTCTCCACATCCTCTCCAGCACCTGTTGTTTCCTGACTTTTTAATGATTGCCATTCTAACTGGTGTGAGATGGTATCTCATTGTGGTTTTGATTTGCATTTCTCTGATGGCCAGTGATGATGAGCATTTTTTCATGTGTTTTTTGGCTGCATAAATGTCTTCTTTTGAGAACTGTCTGTTCATGTCCTTTGCCCACTTTTTGATGGGGTTGTTTTTTTCTTGTAAATTTGTTTGAGTTCATTGTAGATTCTGGATATTAGCCCTTTGTCAGATGAGTAGGTTGCAAAAATTTTCTCCCATTTTGTAGGTTGCCTGTTCACTCTGATGGTAGTTTCTTTTGCTGTGCAGAAGCTCTTTAGTTTAATTAGATCCCATTTGTCAATTTTGTCTTTTGTTGCCATTGCTTTTGGTGTTTTAGACATGAAGTCCTTGCCCATGCCTATGTCCTGAATGGTAATGCCTAGGTTTTCTTCTAGGGTTTCTATGGTTTTAGGTCTAATGTTTAAGTCTTTAATCCATCTTGAATTGATTTTTGTATAAGGTGTAAGGAAGGGATCCAGTTTCAGCTTTCTACATATGGCTAGCCAGTTTGCCCAGCACCATTTACTAAATAGGGAATCCTTTCCCCATTGCTTGTTTTTCTCAGGTTTGTCAAAGATCAGATAGTTGTAGATATGCGGCGTTATTTCTGAGGGCTCTGTTCTGTTCCATTGATCTATATATCTCTGTTTTGGTACCAGTACCATGCTGTTTTGGTTACTGTAGCATTGTAGTATAGTTTGAAGTCAGGTAGTGTGATGCCTCCAGCTTTGTTCTTTTGGCTTAGGATTGACTTGGTGATGCGGGCTCTTTTTTGGTTCCATATGAACTTTAAAGTAGTTTTTTCCAATTCTGTGAAGAAAGGCATTGGTAGCTTGATGGGGATGGCATTGAATCTGTAAATTACCTTGGGCAGTATGGCCATTTTCATGATACTGATTCTTCCTACCCATGAGCATAGAATGTTCTTCCATTTGTTTGTATCCTCTTTTATTTCCTTGAGCAGTGGTTTGTAGTTCTCCTTGAAGAGGTCCTTCACATCCCTTGTCAGTTGGATTCCTAGGTATTTTATTCTCTTTGAAGCAATTGTGAATGGGAGTTCACTCATGATTTGGCTCTCTGTTTGTCTGTTTTTGGTGTATAAGAATGCTTGTGATTTTTGTACATTGATTTTGTATCCTGAGACTTTGCTGAAGTTGCTTATCAGCTTTAGGAGATTTTGGGCTGAGACAATTGGGTTTTCTAGATATACAATCATGTCATCTGCAAACAGGGACAATTTGACTTCCTCTTTTCCTAATTGAATACCCTTTATTTCCTTCTCCTGCCTAATTGCCCTGGCCAGAACTTCCAACACTATGTTGAATAGGAGTGGTGAGAGAGGGCATCCCTGTCTTGTGCCAGTTTTCAAAGGGAATGCTTCCAGTTTTTTCCCATTCAGTATGATATTGGCTGTGGGTTTGTTATAGATAGCTCTTATTATTTTGAAATACGTCCCATCAATACCTAATTTATTGAGAGTTTTTAGCATGAAGGGTTGTTGAATTTTGTCAAAGGCTTTTTCTGCCTCTATTGAGATAATCATGTGGTTTTTGTCTTTGGCTCTGTTTATATGCTGGATTACATTTATTGATTTGCGTATATTGAACCAGCCTTGCATCCCAGGGATGAAACCCACTTGATCATGGTGGATAAGCTTTTTGATGTGCTGCTGGATTCGTTTTGCCAGTATTTTATTGAGGATTTTTGCATCAATGTTCATCAAGGATATTGGTCTAAAATTCTCTTTTTTGGTTGTGTCTCTGCCAGGCTTTGGTATCAGAATGATGCTGGCCTCATAAAATGAGTTAGGGAGGATTCCCTCTTTTTCTATTGATTGGAATAGTTTCAGAAGGAATGGTACCAGTTCCTCCTTGTACCTCTGGTAGAATTTGGCTGTGATTCCATCTGGTCCTGGACTCTTTTTGGTTGGTAAGCTATTGATTATTGCCACAATTTCAGATCCTGTTATTGGTCTATTCAGAGACTGAAATTCTTCCTGGTTTAGTCTTGGGAGAGTGTATGTGTCGAGGAATTTATCCATTTCTTCTAGATTTTCTAGTTTATTTGCGTAGAGGTGTTTGTAGTATTCTCTGATGGTAGTTTGTATTTCTGTGGGATTGGTGGTGATATCCCCTTTATCATTTTTTATTGCGTCTATTAGATTCATCTTTTTTTCTTTATTAGTCTTGCTAGTGGTCTATCAATTTTGTTGATCCTTTCAAAAAACCAGCTCCTGGATTCATTAATTTTCTGAAGGGTTTTTTGTGTCTCTATTTCCTTCAGTTCTGCTCTGATTTTAGTTATTTCTTGCCTTCTGCTAGCTTTTGAATGTGTTTGCTCTTGCTTTTCTAGTTCTTTTAATTGTGATTTTAGGGTGTCAATTTTGGATCTTTCCTGCTTTCTCTTGTGGGCATTTAGTGCTATAAATTTCCCTCTACACACTACTTTGAATGTGTCCCAGGTATTCTGGTATGTTGTGTCTTTGTTCTCGTTCGTTTCAAAGAACATCTTTATTGCTGCCTTCATTTCATTATGTACCCAGTAGTCATTCAGGAGCAGGTTGTTCAGTTTCCATGTAGTTGAGTGGTTTTGAGTGAGATTCTTAATCCTGAGTTCTAGTTTGATTGCACTGTGGTCTGAGAGAGAGTTTGTTATAATTTCTGTTCTTTTACATTTGCTGAGAAGAGCTTTACTTCCAACTATGTGGTCAATTTTGGAATAGGTGTGGTGTGGTGCTGAAAAAAATGTATATTCTGTTGATTTGGGGTGGAGAGTTCTGTAGATGTCTATTAGGTCTGCTTGGTGCAAGCTGAGTTCAATTCCTGGGTATCCTTGTTGACTCTCTGTCTCGTTGATCTGTCTAATGTTGACAGTGGGGTGTTAAAGTCTCCCATTATTAATGTGTGGGAGTCTAAGTCTCTTTGTAGGTCACTCAGGACTTGTTTTATGAGTCCTGGTGCTCCTGTATTGGGTGCATATATATTTAGGATAGTTAGCTCTTCTTGTTGAATTGATCCCTTTACCATTATGCAATGGCCTTCTTTGTCTCTTTTCATCTTTGTTGGTTTAAAGTCTGTTTTATCAGAGACTAGTGTTGCAACCCCTGCCTTTTTTTGTTTTCCATTTGCTTGGTAGATCTTCCTCCATCCTTTTATTTTGAGCCTATGTGTGTCTCTGCACGTGAGATGGTTTTCCTGAATACAGCACACTGATGGGTCTTGACTCTTTATCCAATTTGCCAGTCTGTGTCTTTTAATTGGAGCATTTAGTCCATTTACATTTAAAGTTAATATTGTTATGTGTGAATTTGATCCTGTCATTATGATGTTAGCTGGCTATTTTGCTCGTTAGTTGATGCAGTTTCTTCCTAGTCTTGATGGTCTTTACATTTTGGCATGATTTTGCAGCGGCTGGTACCGGTTGTTGCTTTCCATGTTTAGCGCTTCCTTCAGGAGCTCTTTTAGGGCAGGCCTGGTGGTGACAAAATCTCTCAGCATTTGCTTGTCTGTAAAGTATTTTATTTCTCCTTCACTTACGAAGCTTAGTTTGGCTGGATATGAAATTCTGGGTTGAAAATTCTTGTCTTTAAGAATGTTGAATATTGGCCCCCACTCTCTTCTGGCTTGTAGGGTTTCTGCCGAGAGATCCGCTGTTAGTCTGATAGGCTTCCCTTTGAGGGTAACCCGACCTTTCTCTCTGGCTGCCCTTAACATTTTTTCCTTCATTTCAACTTTGGTGAATCTGACAATTATGTGTCTTGGAGTTGCTCTTCTTGAGGAGTATCTTTGTGGCGTTCTCTGTATTTCCTGAATCTGAACGTTGGCCTGCCTTGCTAGATTGGGGAAGTTTTCCTGGATAATATCCTGCAGAGTGTTTTCCAACTTGGTTCCATTCTCCCTGTCACTTTCAGGTACACCAATCAGACGTAGATGTGGTCTTTTGACATAGTCCCATATTTCTTGGAGGCTTTGCTCATTTCTTTTTATTCTTTTTTCTCTAAACTTCCCTTCTCGCTTCATTTCATTCATTTCATCTTCCATCGCTGATACGCTTTCTTCCAGTTGATCACATCGGCTCCTGAGGCTTCTGCATTCTTCACGTAGTTCTCGAGCCTTGGTTTTCTGCTCCATCAGCTCCTTTAAGCACTTCTCTGTATTGGTTATTCTAGTTATACATTCTTCTAAATTTTTTTCAAAGTTTTCAACTTCTTTGTCTTTGGTTTGAATGTCCTCCCATAGCTCAGAGTAATTTGATCATCTGAAGCCTTCTTCTCTCAGCTCGTCAAAGTAATTCTCCATCCAGCTTTGTTCCGTTGCTGGTGAGGAACTGCGTTCCTTTGGAGGAGGAGAGGTGCTCTGCTTTTTAGAGTTTCCAGTTTTTCTGTTCTGTTTTTTCCCCATCTTTGTGGTTTTATCTACTTTTGGTCTTTGATGATGGTGATGTACAGATGTGTTTTTGGTGTGGATGTCCTTTCTGTTAGTTTTCCTTCTAACAGACAGGACTCTCAGCTGCAGGTCTGTTGGAATACCCTGCTGTGTGAGGTGTCAGTGTGCCCCTGCTGGGGGGTGCCTCCCAGTTAGGCTGCTCAGGGGTCAGGGACCCACTTGAGGAGGCAGTCTGCCCGTTCTCAGATCTCCAGCTGCGTGCTGGGAGAACCCCTGCTCTCTTCAAAGCTGTCAGACAGGGACATTTAAGTCTGCAGAGGTTACTGCTGTCTTTTTGTTTGTCTGTGCCCTGCCCGCAGAGGTGGAGCCTACAGAGGCAGGCAGGCCTCCTTGAGCTGTGGTGGGCTCCGCCCAGTTGGAGCTTCCCGGCTGCTTTGTTTACCTAAGCAAGCCTGGGCAATGGCGGGCGCCCCTCCCCCAGCCTTGCTGCTGCCTTGCACTTTGATCTCAGACTGCTGTGCTAGCAATCAGGGAGACTCCATGGGCGTAGGACCCTCCAAGCCATGTGTGGGATATAATCTCGTGGTGTGCCGTTTTTTAAGCCCTTCGGAAAAGTGCAGTATTCGGGTGGGAGTGACCTGATTTTACAGATGCCGTCCGTCACCCCTTTCTTTGATTTGGAAAGGGAACTCCCTGACCCCTTGCACTTCCCAAGTGAGGTAATGCCTCGCCCTGCTTCGGCTCACGCACGGTGCGCGCACCCACTGACCTGCACCCACTGTCTGGCGAGATGAACCCGGTACCTCAGATGGAAATGCAGAAATCACCGTCTTCTGCGTCGCTCACGCTGGGAGCTGTAGACCGGAGCTGTTCCTATTCGGCCATCTTGGCTCCTCTCCTCAGCGGTAATATCTTTTAACTCTTTCTCCATAACGTTATTTTAGTGTCTTGTGGAGACCGCTTGCTGCTTACCCCAATATGTGTTCTCACCATCTTGTGGCTTACCCTTAGTTATGTCTACTGCCAAAAGAACTAAAACAATACTTTGTAACCTATCTTGCCTAGAAGACATCATTTAGCTACAATTTGGTTTATGAGACATAAACAGAAACGTATGTTCTAATTTAGAGAGAAGTTTTTAATGAGAAAAGAGACACCTATCTTCTGCATGTTTCATTTTCTTGTAGTTAGCTCTTGAATATTAGCAGCTATCTTATATCCTAATTTGAAAGTGTCAGACCTAGGCTCACAGAACAGCATAGAGCAGGGGCCTGCAGAAGCAGAAAATAAAAGGAGCCGTGCTGTAACACAAAAAAATGTCTGTCCATAAACATTATCATGTGAGAGGGAAAAAATCCTCTGTTTCCATTGTCTCCATAACTTTCCCCCATTCTTCAAAGTTGACTCAAATGTTAGCTGATACATTATGGTTACCAAAAGAACAGGAAATAATATATTAATACTACTCTTTCTTGATTATCAAATTTGGCACTCCCATATGAGAAATTTAGCTGATACATTTAAATAATAAAAATACCATTTCCACTTTTCAACTCTTCAGATTTTGTCAGAAATTTCTGAAATCTTAGTTTTTTCAGTAATTATGATTTTTAAGAATATACTTAATCTTCTTTTGAATAATTTAGCAACTGAAAATGTATCTAGATAATCTCACATAAAATGGTAAAGCAATGAGTACTTCCATTTCTATTTTACTCCTCATCACATAGTTCTTTAATTTGCTGCTAAATAACATTTTTATTCTTGCATTTTACTTTGTAACTATACGAAATTTTGTATTATTTGTATTTAATTTGTATAAAGATGAAAAACCTAAATGAATAATAAATATAAATGCAGATATTAATAAAATAAATATAAATCATAAGACAAGAGCCAAAATTTGACACGTTAATAACATTAACACAATTGATAAACACTAAAAAGACTGATTGATACAATAAGAGAAGAAAATTAATATTATGGGTGCTATTAATATCATATCACTACAAATCTTCACAGATCAAAAGATATTTAGACGTGACATTCTGAAAAACTGTATGACAAAAATTTGACAATGTGAATAAAATAGACAAATTCCTGGGACAATATAACTTAGTAAAGATGACAAAAGAAGAAGTTAAATATTAGAATTGTCTGATATCTATTAAGGAATCAAATTTGTCACTTAAAACCCTTCACTGAAAGAAAAGGGAAAATAAACTGAAACCCACAGGCACAGATGGATTCAATTATAGATTTTTCCAGACAAATGAACAGTTCACATTTTCTTGGAGTGATAGGAGAAGAGTTTAACTTGCTTACTTTATGAGTTGGAAAACAGTTACATGAGTAATCACCAAAGGAGGAAGTATTCTGTAGTCTTTCTATATTCAATTTTGTTGTGAGAATTTTCCATAAATTCTTACTACATTGCAATATAGCCTCTAAAAAATAGAGGAAGCTAGTCTTTCCATGTTCAAAATGAGAAAGTAAAACTGTAATATGATATCTCTGTTGAGCATTCAGTTGAAGCAGGCTGGTCACCTCAAGGGAGAAACAGGGGTAACCAGACTGTTTCCAGAAAATGTGACAATAGATGAATTTATTTCTCCTGCTTTCTATATGTAGAAGAGAGCGGGAGATGAAGAGCCTTTTACAATTCTACTACAACTTCAAGGCCTGAAAAAAAAAAAAAGAAAGAAAAAAACAGAGGTCTGAAAATCCATTGCAGTGAATGTCTGGTTAAAATCCAATGCTATCTTAAGTAGAAAATAGTTTTTGCAAAAGCTTTCTAATTGATAACTCTCCTTTGGTTTTCTAAACCTTTTAGCCACTGGCTTATGAGAAGCTTAAATTAATTTGGGACCTAGAGAGGATATTTACATAAAATTTTGCTTAACATAGGAAAGAGATGTGGCTTCAACAGGGTCATAGTAATGGAGATGGACAATAAATACAGGAAGATATGTTTTGGAGAATAAAACAGTAGATTTAGCTAGAAGTTTCGATGTAGTGGTTGTAGGCAACAGAAAAATCGAGAATTCTAAATTTTTGACTTTTCTATTCTGTTTTACCTCATCCATCTGTGTGTGTTCATGCATCATCTCTCTGTATCAGCTGGTGTTTTTTGAAGCAAGCAACAGAAAACAACACTGTCTCATTTACACAGAATATAAATGTATTGAATAAGTATTTAGTAGCTAGTGGTGTGAAAGGAAAAATTGTGAACCAAGTTCGAGAATGGTCAGACACAAGGGAGGCCAGGCAGCAGCCAACTGGTAAATATCAAGTTCCAGAGCCAGGCCCATGAGGACAGAGCTGCCCTGCTAAGCTGGCGCTATTTTAGTTGCTGCTGCAGGACAATTGATGCTTCTACTGCTGAGCCTGGAACCTGGATGCTACACTACCACTTCACCATCAACACCGAGATGTTTTCTCTACTGTCCCTTTTCTTTTGAAATGAACTGATTCAAAGTTCAGAAGTAGGATGGGTGGAATCTGACCAGTAAATCTAGGTCATGTAGTAGTACCCTTTCTCTAAGGAAGGCTACAGAAATCTATATCTGTATCTTTGACGTCTACCATGGTAGATGGGCTCTGCCTCCTTTCAAGACTCATAGGATGAAAATTTTCACAGTAATAGATACTACATCCTCTATGATGCCTGCATTCCTCAAAGAAAACAATGGCTTGCTTATCTAAATGCTCACTAGAACTAGAAATACCATTTGACCCAGCCATCCCATTACTGGGTATATACCCAATGGATTATAAATCATGCTGCTTATAAAGACACATGCACACATATGTTTATTGTGGCACTATTCACAATAGCAAAGACTTGGAACTAACCCAAATGTCCAACAATGATAGACTGGATTAAGAAAATGTGGCACATATAGATCATGGAATACTATGCAGCCATAAAAAATGATGAGTTCATGTCCTTTGTAGGGACATGGATGAAGCTAGAAACCATCATTCTCAGCAAACTATCGCAAGGACAAAAAACCAAACACCTCATGTTCTCACTCATAGGTGGGAATTGAACAATGAGAACACATGGACACAGGAAGGGGAACATCACACACAGGGGCCTGTTGTGGGGTGGGGGGAGCGGGGAGGGATAGCATTAGGAGATATACCTAATGTAAATGATGAGTTAATGGGTGTAGCACACTAACATAGCACATGTATACATATGTAACAAACCTGCACGTTGTGCACATGTACCCTAAAACTTAAAGTATGAAAAAAAAAATGCTCACAGTGCTTATTTCTTGAAAGTTTGCTTAATAACAATAAATACCATATTTTTATCTATGAATGTATCTCATTATTTGTATTATTCTGTGAATTCCTTTTTGTTGACAAATTATATGTATGGTGATGTATGTATGTTTTGCATACAGGGTGATATTATAATTTCTGAAAACAATGTGTAATGGTTAAATAAAGCTTAACATATTTGTTATCCCAAATATTTAATAATTTTTTGATAAGGGCATTTGAAATTTACTTTCTTAATAAAATTTAACTGTACAATATTCAGTTATAGCTATATTCACCATGCTGTGTAATTGTTCTAAAAAATGTGCATATTCCTACTGTCTGAGGCTTTGTACCTTTATGCCCTTTGACTATTCCTGTTTCCCTCACATCCCAGTTTCTGGATACCACCCTTCTACTCTCTGCTTCCATTAATTCAATTGGTTTAGATTCTACATATAAGTGAGAACATTTGGTATTTGTCTGTGTTTGACATGTTTCATTTCATGAATGGAATTGGAGAACATTTTGCTAATGTTCTATGATGTCACAAATGACAGAATTTTTTTATCATCCGTCCCTTGAAGAAAACTTATGTTGAATTCATAGGTTAGCCATTATACACAGTACTGCAATGAACATGGGAGTGTAAACATCTCTTTGACACACTGATTTCAAATCTTTCAGGTAAATGCCCAGAAGTAGGATTGCTAGATCATAGAGTAATTCTACTTTTTATTTTTATTTTTTGGAAACTTTAGAGACTATTTTCTATATGATTATACTAATTTATATTCCTACAAGCAATGTACAAGAAATCTGTTTTCTTCATATCCTTACCAGAATTGGTTATCTTTTGCCTTTTTAATAATAGCCATTGTAATTGGTGTGAGGTAATATCTCATGTGGTTTTAATTTGCATCTCCTTAATGATTAGCGGTGTTGAGCATTTTTCATATATCTGTTAGCCATTTGGATGTCTTAAGTTTCATTCATTAATGTTTCCTAGTTTTTAGTGTAAAACTCATTTTAATTTTTTTGTAGCTATTGTAAATGTGATTATTCCCTTGGTTATATTTTTCAGAAATTTTATTGTTGGGGTAGAGAAACACTGCTGATTTTTACATGTTGATTTAGTGTCCTGCAACTTTGCTGAAATCATTTACCAGTTCTATTATTTTTGTTGAAATCTTTAGTGTTTTCTATACATAAAATTATATAGTCTGGAAACAGACAACTTAACTTGTCTCTTTCCAAGTTGCATGTCTTTCCTGTCACTCTCCTGCCTAATTGTTCTGGCTAGGACCTCCTGTACTACATTGAATAGGACTGTTGAGAGTGGGCATCCTTGTCCTGTTCCTGATCTTAGAAGAAAAGCTTTCAACTTTTCTCCTTTGTGTGTTATCTGTGTGTTTGTAATACATTTTTTTATTGTGTTGATGTACATTTCTTGTATATCTAATTTGTTGAGAGAGTTTTTATAAGAAAGGATATTGAACTTTGTCAAATGTTTTATAAGCATCTTATGAGATGGTCATATAATTTTTGTCCTTCATTTTGTTTATGCTGTGAATCACATTTATTGATTCGCAAATGTCGAACCATCCTTGAATCCCAGAGATAAATCTCACTTCATCATAATAAATGATTCTTTTGTTATTGCATTTAGTTTGCCTGTGTTTTGTTCATGATTTTTGTATCTCTGTTTCCCAAAAATATTGGCTTGTAGTTTTCTTTTCTAGTGATGTCCTTGTCTGGCTTTGGTATCAGGTTAATGCTAGCCTAGTGAAACGGGTTTGACTGTTCCCACCCCTTCAATTCTTTGAAGTCATTTTTGAGAAATTGGTATCAGTTTTTTAAATGTTTGGTAGAATTCAGCAGTGAAGTCATCAGGTCCTGGGCCTTTTATGATGGAATACATTTTATTACTGATTCAATCTTTTCACTCAGTATTGGTCCGTCTAGATTTTCTATTTCTTCGTAATTCAGGCTTGGTAGGTTATGTCAAATAATTTATCAATTTCTTTTAGGTTATCCACACTTTGGCATATAATTATTCATGATAGTCTGTTATGACTGTTTGTATTTCTGAGGTGTCAGTTCTAATGTTCCTTCTTTCATTTCTGATTTTATTCCTTTGAGTCTTTTCTCTTATACTCTTGGTTAATCTTCCTAAACGTTTGTCAATTTTGTTACTCTTTTCAGAAAACCAACTCTTAGTTTTTTTGCTCTTTTGCATTATTTATCTAGTTGCTGTTTTATTCTTTTCTGTTTTGATCTCTTTTTCCCCCTTTTGCTAACATTGATTGTATTTTTTTCCTTTTCTATTATCTTGGGTTGTAACATCAAGTTGTTTGCAATCTTTCTTCTTTTCAGATGTAGGCATTTCTTGCTATAAAGTTTCCTTGGAAAACTTCTTTGCTTCTTTCCATACATTTTAGTAGATTTTGTTTCCATTTTATTTGTCTCAAGCTATTTGTACATTTTATTTTAATTTCTTCATTGATTTATTGATTGTGGGTATGTTGATTCATTTTCATGCATTTGTCAATTTTCTGAAATTCCTATAGTTATTGATTTCTGATTTTATACCTTTAGGGTTTAAAAAGGTACTTGATATAATTTCAACATTTTTCAATTTGCTAATACTTGTTTTGTGACCAAAATATGATCTATCCTGAAAATTATGCCAGGTATGTTTGAGAAGAATATGCGTTCTTCTGTAAAGCATTGTTCAAGTTCAGTATTTTCTTATTAATTTTTGGTCTCAATTAACTGTTCAATATTAAAAGTGGTGTATTGAAGTCTTCTACTATTGTTGTATTGCAACTTATCTCTCTTTTCATATCCTTTAATATGCCTTATATATTTAGATGCTCCACTGTTGAGTTCATACAAATTTATAATTGTTATATTATCTTGATGAATTAACTCTTTTATCAATTTTTAAATGTCCTTCTTTTTCTCCTTTATTCTTCTCTATTTAAAATCTAGTTTGTCTAAATTTTTGCACCTGCTCCTTTATGATTTCCATTTGTGTGAAATATCTTATTTCCATCCTTCAATTTCAGACTATGTGTGCCCATAAAAGCAAACTTCATCTCTTGTAAGAAGCGTATAGTTGGGTCTGATTTTTCTTAATTCATTTACTCATTATATATATTTTTATTTTATAATATAATCCATTTACATCTAAGGTAATTATTGATAGGTAAGGACTTAATTCTGCCATTTTGTTGTTTTCTGGAATTTTTGTAAGTAACCTTTTTGTTCTTTCTTCCTCTCTTACTCTCTTCCTTTGTGGCTTGATGGTTTTCTGTAGCAATATGTTTTGAATGTTTTTATTTTTGTTTTGTGCATATCATGTAGATTTTTGCTTTCTGGTTACCATGAGGCTTACAAAGAACATCTTGCATTTAGAATAGTCTATTTGAAGCTGATAATGTTGATTTAAAGCTGATAATCTTGATTGCATACAATAAGTACACACTTCTTTCTCCTCTTTCCATTTATGTTTTAGCTGTCCAAATTTGCCTGAGATCTTCTATTTTGCTATCTTGTTGATGTTAATTTCTATAAGGCCAGATTTTTGTGGGAATAACCAAGGTATCCAACATACAGCTTTGGACAGAATCCAGATCCTCAGATTCTGAAAAAAACGTATTTAGATACTTATAGAACAAAAGGAACAAATTAATTAATGATAACACCTTGACAACCCTATAAAAATAATGAAAACATACCAATTTATTATAGCAGACCATTGAAATTAGGTTTTATTGAGAAGCTGATGGTAAGATAAAATTAATAGGGCAAAAGGATTATTAAGGCTGAAGCTTCTAAAAGAAGAAAGGGATGCAGTATGATCAGAGGGTATTGTCAGACCAAGATATAGACCTAACAGAGTAGCAACTCAATCATGAACTCTAAAGAAATATCCTGTTAAAAGAGTTATATATTGGATAGAATGGCTATGTCACTACCACCTACCTGCTCAGCTACTATATGGGTGCCAACTTAAGAAGAGCTTGACTTTACCTACCACTGACTTGCTCTGTCATTGGCTAGAAGCTTTTCCTGAAGAAGCTTAGCCTCATCTTGAGTACTGAAGCAGATCCTGAAAAGGAACTAAAACCTAGTGGCTGTTAGCTAAGCACATTCATTGTAGCTGAGCAGCAAGCTCTTAATTATACAACATAGATCCAATTTTTAAGCAGCCCCTTCAAAATGGGTTATTTTCCCTGAAGGAAGAATTAGAAGGGGGTATTTTTAGTGGGGTAAACTTCAGTACTCATCACTAAAGTTGATTTTAGGGTCTTAAATGCTATTCATCGTCTGTCTATTATTTATTTTATATTTTGTTTACCCTCAGATACCATATTTGGTTTACTTGGTGGTGTGAAATAAATCTTTATTCCTGAGGGTTTTAAACTACTGACTACTGCCAATGTGTCCATATATATTCTATTCTCAAAGTACTTTGCCTACTACACAAAGTAGAAGAATAGGTGCACTTTCTAAAGCATCACCTATTGGTAAAAACTTTGTCCTTCAAGGCCATTTATGTGCAAAGCTGTAGTACAGTCATTCTGTATTTTTAGCTTACATTTACTTCCTGGGAAACTCATCCATAAGCCAAGCTCAGGATTTTTTTATCCTATGCATGTGATCATTTGGAAAAATATCCTTCTTGTGCGCTGAAGAAGGAAAACAAGTAAAACTCCATTGAACAAGGAGGGATCAGACGGAGTACATGGAGCATGGGGCAATACCTGCTCATGTGTCTTACTTATAACCCCTCTTTCTGCTTATACTTAGTATTAAACATGCAATTTGCATCTTACAAAGGATTATTGCAGGATAACCCAGACTTATTTATGACTTGATGGGTGTCAAAGGTCTGAGCTCATGTTAGGCAGTTCCACATCCATGCTCGCATGGTGTCCAATGGTTAAAAATTCCATCTCTATCAGGGTTTGGTGACAGATGAGTAATTTTTTTTAATAAACACATAGTTATTTGCTACAGATAGCATAGTCTTGTTCTAGGACTCAGTGGGCTATGTTCTGAATTTTCCTCTAGGACTCACCACAAACACCTCGCAACATGTTTTTTTTTACTAATAACCCTTTCAGCATAATACTATGTTCTATTGGAGCATATGGCCCATAGGGGAATAATACTTACCTCACAACATGTACACCCCACAAAGCCTCTCAGGTTACCTTTTTATGGGTCACAGAAGCATCCTATGTGTGAAATTGTACTTTAGTAGTGAGCATAGGTCTATTAGGCATTGTACCTATTTTGTAGTAAAACATATAAGATACTTAAATTTATTTGTTAATTTAGAAACAATATCTAGTATGCTTCTAATAGGTCTGTAAATATTTTTACTGAACTGGTCTCTGAATCTTCATAGGGCTTAGTCTTCATCCTCTGAATTGAATGTCTCACAAGTTTTCCAATAGTGTAGCTACTTCTTGATCTTTCAATAAAATGAGTAGAGGACATTAATAAAGTGGAGCAATGTGATGTTTTCTGCAATGTCCACATGATCCAGATTTTTTTAATGCTAAAGTAATTTCTTCTTTATTTGATCATCAAATTACTAATGACTGTGTGACTGTGTAAACAACAGAAATTAATTTTCTCACAGTGCTAAAGACTGCAGGTCCAAGTTCAAAATGGTTTTTTCTGAGGTCTATTTCTTTGACTGCCTTCATATTCAAATGGTCACTCTCTATGAGTGTCTGTGTCTTAATCTCCTCTTCTTATATGGGCACCAGCCATATTAGATTAGGGTTCATCTGAATAACTAATTTTAACTTCACTATCTTTTTTGAAGGGGGATATTATGGGATCCTTGAATTTTTGTGTGTGTGTGTGTGTGTGTGTGTGTGTTTTATTTCTCCTAAAAAAAAAACAAAACGGGATACATGTGCTGAATGTGCAGGTTTGTTACATAGGTATAAATGTGCTATGGTGGTTTGCTGCACCTATTGACCTGACTCCTAAGTTCTCTCCCCTCACCCCCAACCCCACAACAAGCCCTGGTGTGTTGTTCCCCTCTCTGTGTCCATGTATTCTCAATGTTCAACTCCCATTTATAAGTGAGAACATGCAGTGTTTGGTTTTCTGTCCCTATGTTAGTTTGCCGAGGATGGTGGCTTCCAGCTTCATTCATGTCCCTACAAAGGACATGATCTCATTCCTTTTTATGGCTGCATAGTATTCCACGGGGTATGTGTACCACATTTTCTTTATCTAGTCTATCATTGATGGGCATTTGGGTTGGTTCCATGTCTTTGCTATTATAAATAGTTCTGCAATAAACATACGAGTGCATGTGTCTTTACAGTATAACAATTTACTATTTTCCTTTGGGTATATACTAATAATGGGATTGCTGGGTCAAATGGTATTTCTGGTTCTAGATCCTTGAGGAATTGCCATGCTGTCTTCCACAATGGTTGAACTAATTTACACTCCCACCAACAGTGCAAAAGTGTTCCTATTTCTCCACACCCTCACCAGCATCTGTTGTTTCCTGACTTTTTAATAATCGCCATTTTGACTGGCATGAGATGGTATCTCATTGTGTTTTTGATTTGCATTTCTCAGATGATCACTGATGTTGAGCTTTTTTTTTTCATATGTTTTTTGGCTGTGTAAATGTCTTCTTTTGAGAAGTGTCTGTTCATATCCTTTGTCTGCTTTCTGATGTGCCTGTTTATTTTTTTCTTGCAATATGTTTAAGTTCCTTATAAATTCTGGATAATAGACTTTTGTCAGTTGGGTAGATTGCAAAAATTTTCTCCCAGTCTGTAGATTGCCTGTTCATTCTTATGATAGTTTATTTTGCTCTGCAGAAGTTCCTTAGTTTAATTAGATCCCATCTGTCAATTTTGGCTTTTGTTGCAATTGCTTTTGGAATTTTTGTCATGAAGTCTTTGCCGAAGCTTTATTCTTCTTGCTTAGGATTGTCTTGGCTATACGGGATCCTTTTTGGTTCCATATGACATTTAAAGTAGTTTTTTTCCAATTCTGTGAAGAATGTCAATGGTAGTTTGATGGGAATAACATTGAATCTGTAAATTGCTTTGGGCAGTATGGCCATTTTCACGAAATTGATTCTTCCTATTCTTCCTATCCATGAGGATGGAATGTTTTTCCATTTGTTTGTGTCCTCTCTTATTTCCTTGAGCAGTGGTTTGTAGTTCTATTTGAAGAGGCTCTTCACATGCCTTGTTAGCTGTATTCGTAGGTAGTTTATTCTCTTTGTAGCAATTGTAAATGGGAGTTCATTCATGATATGGCTTTCTTCTTGTCTATTGTTGGCATAAAGGAATGCTTGTGATTTTTGCACATTGATTTTGTATCCTGAGACTTTCCTGAAGTTGCTTATCAGGTCAAGAAATTTAAGGGCTGATATGATGGGGTTTTTTAAAATATAAAATCGTGTCATCTGCAAAGAGAGACAACTTGACTTCCTCTCTTCCCATTTTAATCCGCCTTTTTTCTTTCTCTTTCCTGATTGCCCTGGCCAGAACTTCCAATACTATGTTGAATAGGAGTGATGAGAGAGGGTATCCTTGCCTTGCACAGGTTTTCAAAGGGAATGCTTCCAACTTTTGCCAATTCAATATGATATGGGCTATGAGTTTGTCATAAATAGTTCTTATTATTTTTAGATATATTCAATCAATACCTAGTACATTGAGAGTTTTTAACATGAAGGAATGTTGAATTTTATCAAAGGCTTTTTCTGCATCTATTGAGATAATCATGTGGCTTTTGTCTTTGGTTCTGTTTATGTAATAGATTATGTTTATTGATTTGTGCATGTTGAACCAGCCTTGCATCTGAGTGATGAAGCCGACTTGATCACGGTCGATAAGTTTTTTGATGTGCTGCTGGATTCAGTTTGCCAGTATTTTATTGAAGATTTTTGCATCAATATTAATCAGGAATAGTGGACTGATTTTTTTCTTTTTTTGTTGTGTCTCTTCCCAGTTTTGCTATCAGTATGATGCTGGCTTCATAAATTGAGTTAGGGATGAATCCCTCCTTTTCAGTTATTTGAAATAGTTTCAGAAGGAATGGTACCAGCTCCTCTTTGTATTTCTGGTAGAATGTAGCTGTGAATCAGGTAGTTCCTAGGCTTTTTTTGGTTGCTAGGCTATTAATTCTGCCTCAATTTCAGCACTTGTTATTGGTCTATTCAGGGATTCAACTTCTTCCTGGTTTAGTTTTGGTAGGGTGTATGCGTCCAGGAATTTATCCATTTCTTCTAGATTTTCTAGTTTATTTGAATACAGGTATTTATAGTATTCTCTGACGATAGTTTGTATTTCTGTGAGGTCAGTGGTGATATCCCCTTTAACATTTTTTATTTTGTTTATTTGATTCTTCTCTCTCCGTTATTAGTCTAGCTAGCAGTCTATCTATTTTGTTAATTTTTTTCAAAAAACTACCTCCTGGATTTGTTGATTTTTTGTGTCCCTATCTCTTTCAATTATTCTCTGATCTTAGCTATTTCTTGTCTTCTGCTAGCTTTTTGATTTGTTTCCTCTTGCTTCTCTAGTTCTTTTAATTCTTATATTAGGGTGTTGATTTGAGATTTTTCTAGCTTTCTGATTTGGGAATCTAGTGCTATAAATTTTCCTCTTAAAACTGCTTTAGCTGTGTCCCAGAGAATCTGGTACATTGTCTCTTTGTTCTCATTGGTTTCAAAGAACTTCTTGATTTCTGCCTTTATTTCATTATTTACCCAGGAGTCATCCAGCAGCAGGTTTTTCAATTTTCATAAAATTATGTGGTTTTGAGTGAGTTTCTTAATCCTGAGTTCTAATTTGATTGCACTGTTGTCTGAGAGACTGTTATGGTTTCAGGTTTTTGCATTTGCTGAACATTTTTTTACTTCTAATTTTGTGTTTGATTTTAGAATAAGTGTCATGTGGCACTGAGAAGAATGTATATTCTGTTGATTTGGGGTACAGAGTTCTGTAGAAGTCTGCTAGGTCCACTTGATCCAGAGCTGAGTTCAAGTCCTAAATATCCTTGTTAATTTTCTGTCTCGTTGATCTGTCTAATACTGACATTGGGTGGGAGCCTAAGTCTCTTTGTAGGCCTCTAAGAACTTGTTTTATGAATCTGGGTGCTCCTGTGTTGGGTGCATATACATTTAGAATAGTTAGCTCTTCTTGTTCAATTGTCCCCTTCACCATTATGTAATGCCCTTCTTTGTCTGTTTGATCTTTGTTGGTTTAAATTCTGTTTTGTCAGAGACTAGGATTGCAATCCCTGCTGTGTGTTTTTCAGCTTGTTTCCATTCTCCCCATTTCCTTTTGTTACTTCAATCAATTGTAGGTTCAGTCTTTTTATGAAGTCCCATATTTCTTGGAGGCTTTGTTCTTTCCTTTCCTTTTCCTTCTTTTTTCTCTATTCTTGTCTGCATGTCTTATTTCAGTAAGGTGGTCTTCAAACTCCGATATACTTTCTTCTGCCTGGTCAACTCAGCTGTTGTTACTTCTGTATGCTTCACAAAGTTCTCATCTGTGTTTTTCAGCTTCATCAGGTTGTTTATGTTCCCCTCTAAACTGGTTATTCTAGTTAGCAATTCCTCTAACCTTTTATCAAGGTTCTTAGCTTCTTTGCATTGGGTTAGAACATGCTCCTTTAGCTCAACATATTTTTTTTAACCCATCTTCTGTTGCGGGAAGTCAGGGACCCTGAACGGAGGGACTGGCTGGAGCCACAGCAGAGGAACATAAATTGTGAAGATTTCAAGGACATTTATCAGTTCCCAAATAATACTTTTATAATTTCTTATGCCTGTCTTTACTTTAATCTCTTAATCCTGTTATCTTCGTAAGCAGAGGATGTATGTCACCTCAGGACACAGTGATAATTGTGTTAACTGTACAAATTGATAGTAAAACATGTGTGTTTGAACAATATGAAATCAGTGCACCTTGAAAAAGAACAGAATAACACCAATTTTTAGGAAACAAGGGAAGACAACCATAAGGTCTGACTGCCTGCAGGGTCGAGCAAAAAGAGCCATATTTTTCTTCTTGCAGAGAGTCTATAAACAGACGTGCAAGTAGGGAAGATATCACTAAATTCTTTTCCTAGCAAGGAATATTAATATTAATATGCTGGGGAAGGAACGCATTCCCTGGGGGGAGGTCTATAAATGGCCACTCTGGGAATGTCAGTCTTATGTAGTTGAGATAAGGACTGAGATACACCCTGGTCTCCTGCAGTACCCTCAGGTTTACTAGGGTGGGGAAAAACTCTGCCCTGGTAAATTTGTGGTCTGACTGGTTCTCTACTCTTGAACCCTGTTTTCTGTTGTTTAAGATGTTTATCAAGACCTTTTTCACTGCTGAACATAGCAGTGAAACATAGACCTTTTTCAGTGGTTCTGCTTTTGCCCTTTGCCTTGTGATCTTTTTGGACCCATATCAGTAGTTCTGCTTTTGTCCTTTGTCCTGTTCCCTCAGAAACATGTGATCTTTGTGAGACCCTTATTAGTAGTTCTGCTTTTTGCCCTTTGAAATATGGGATCTTTGTACCTACTCCCTGTTCTTACACCCCCTCCCCTTTTGAAACCCTGAATAAAAACTTGCTGGTCTGAGACTCAGGCAGGCATCACGGTCCTACTGATATGTGATGTCACCCCTGGTGGCCCAGCTATAAAATTCCTCTCTTTGTACTGTCTCTTTATTTCTCAGCCGGCCAACACTTATGGAAAATTGAAAGAACCTATGTTGAAATACTGGGGGCAGGTTCCCCCAATAATCTTCTGAACTCCACTCCTGTCAGTTAGTTCATCTTATCCTCTGTCCAGTTCTGGGCCCCTAATGGGGAGACTTTATGATCATTTGGAGGAGAAGAGGCACTCTGGCCTTTTGGGTTTTCTGCATTTTTTTTGTTGTTGATTCTTTCTCATCTTTGTGAGTTTGTCTAGTTTCAGTCTTTGAGACTTCTGACCCTTGGCTGGGGTTTTGGTGGGGGTCTTTTTGTTGTTGATGCCATTGTTTTTGCTTTTTGCTTGTTTGTTTCTCTTTCAATAATCTGGTCCCCCTTCTGTAGGGTGGTGCCAGTTTGCTGAGGGTTCACTTCAGTCCCTATTCATTTAATTCACTCCCGTGCCTGGAGATGTCATTCAAGGAGGTTGGAGAGCAGCAAAGATGGGTCCCTGCTTCTTCTTCTAGGACCTCTGACCTCAAAGGGCACCAAACTGATGTCAGTAGGATCATTCCTTTATAGGATATTTGACAACCCCTGTTGGAGGGTCTCACCCAGTTGGATGGCATGGTGAACAGGACCTGTTTCCCAAAGCACTTTGTCCCTTAGCGGAGAGGGTGTGTTTCACTGGGGACCCATCTGGGCTGCCTGGATTCCTCAGAACTACCAGAAGGAGAGGCAAAGTCAGCTGGTCTGCAGAGACTGCCACCACCCCTCTCCCTAGGGGCTCAGTCCCAGGGATATCCAAATTCTGTTCCTGAGCCTCTGGTTGGAGTTACTGGAGATCCTGCAGGGAAGCCCCACCCATTGAGGAAGGATGGGTCCGGGTTAGACCTGAAGAGGCACTTTGGCTCCAGACTGCCACAGCCTGTGTGTTGGGCTGTTGGGACAAGTCTTGGGACCAAGCCATCCAGTCTCCCTGGCTCCAGCAGGGGAAAAGCACAGACTGGAGCTATAGAAATGGTTGCTGCCCTTCCCCAGCCCAGGGAGTTTGGTGTATTAGGCAGTTGTGAGTCCCACTGCTGGCTGCTGCCTTTCCCCCAAGGAGTTCAAATGGCTTAGACTGCAGGCAGCATCAGCAGGTGCTGGTCAGCCCTCCCCCTAGGAATTCAGTAGGCTTAAGCAGATTCCAGCTGAAAGGCTGTAAGAATCTCTGTGTTCAGGAGTTGGGACAGAAGCCCCAGTGGCATAGGTTCACGAGTGAGATCTTCTGGTCCATGAGTTGCACAGTTCCATGGAAAAAGCACAGTTTCCCTGGCTGGGTAGTGCTCTCACTCACTGCCTCCCTTGGCCCAGGGAGGGAGTTTCCCTTCCCTGCATGGCTCTCGGGTGGACCACTGCACCACACTGCTGTTCCTTCTCTCCATGGGTCAAGCCAGCCTTCTAGTAAATTTTGATGAGAGAACCTGGATACCTTGGCTGCTGGTGAAGAATTCACACTCTTATTATGTATTTTTTCGATGAGAGCCTTTGAACACCAAGGCTTCTAGTCAGGCATCTTGCCCTGCCCCCACCCCGATTTTTTCAAATGTGAATTGAGTTATCAGCTTGCTGTTTAGAAGAGGTGGTGGGATTTGCTCATGAGAGGGGAACCTTGTTGCCTCACTGTGAAACAATATCTGTATTATTTTCCACAGAGAAGGGTACTAGCTTTTATGGGGTGGAGTGAAAGTTCATGAAACCAAAATCTTTGGGTTCATTCAGAAAGTAATTCCTATTCAAGGAGCTCAGGTTTTCCAAGTTAGAGACCTGACCTTGGCATAAGAGTTGCTTAGGTTCACCATTTAATCATCTTCTAAGTTCAGCACTCTAAATATTAAATCCTGGAGTTGATGTTAAATATTTTCTTCTGATCTACTGCATGAAATGTGGGTTTCTCTGTAGATTATTAAACATACTCTCTGATTCTGACATTTTGTTTCCATTACTTGTTAATTGCCTTGAGATTTTTTATCCACTTGTGGGAAATAAATGTCTTTTTCTCTAAAGCTAAACTTGAATTAAAGTTAAGAACATAGTATCTATATCAACATAGTGTGAGTTTAGGGGAAATTGAAAAGATTGTGCAACAACAAAAAAGGCTTTTAAAAAAAATTTCTTAAACTGTTATATTTTTCTTTTTGTCAAAATTATTATCGGTCAAAGAATGCTGCACTTATTTTACAAAATGTTTTTATTTAGCACAAATCTTTTACTAAGCACATCATAAAATAAATTATTTTTATCAGATGGTAGTATGTAAATGTATTAAAAGAGTCACATTTTAAATGTGTGAATTGAAGGATTCAACATTAACAGAAAAATATACCCTGGTGAAAATTAATTTTTTTTTTACAAAACATTGGTTAAAATTCAGGACAATTTTACAAGCACTTCCTGCCTCTGCCTCTCTTACTGCCCAATGAAGTGTTTTTTTTTTTATCATGGGTACCTAATTAGTGCAAGGTTTATTTAGGAAGTCGTTATGTCTGAGAATACTTAACTTCTACTCTTCTGTCTTTGATGAAGAGGCTCTAAGTGGATTTAAAAACTCCTGGTGGGCACTTATTATTCTTAGTGCATTCAGTAAAATATATCAGCAAATTAGCCCCTGTCTCCTGGTTGGCCTAGGACTACATAATAAAAGCATTTTATGATAAAGCTAAAATTGACTTTATATAGAACTTTTTCTACTTAAGAAAATTAGAACCTAACATTAAATTCAAAGTTCACTATAGCTTCAGATAGGTTAAGTATAAGCTACCTTTACTTTTGAAATGGATTTTCTTATGACCAAAATTTAGGTTGATATGTTACGTGAATATTTGCATGTATAACCATTTTTATTCTGCATTTCTTCTATTAACCTGCTGACATTGAGAAGTAATAGCATTGTGTTGATTTTTCCAGTTCAAAAATTCATGTTGCACTGAAGCTCATTGTTTGCAAACTCATTCAGCATATTGGCATTAGATCTAAAAAGAGGATGTACAACATGAAAACAAACATCTTTCTTAGTTGGCTCTTTCATCTTTTATATAACTATGCAACTCAGTAACCATTAGGACTACTTTCAATTACATTTGGATTTCATCACTTTTTTTTACTCCAGAAACTATCTGAAATCATCTCAATAGTTACAGAGTTTGTGATGTCAACAAACTTTTTTCAGTAGTGACTACGGTACTACTGCCCATAGTTAGTTATCACTGCAGTTTTGCTGGCAGCCTGAGATCTACAAACCCTTGAAATTATGGAGCACTAATTTGTTTAAATAGCCGTTTTTTTAAGTTGGCCTAAGACCAGGAATAACAATGAGTTCTCTAAATTTATTGGATATTTTATTTATTTTTGAACTTTATTTTGTGATCGTATAGCTTCTAATAATACAAATCTACTCATTTTAGGTTTTTTTTGTTTAAACATAGATTTATCCTAATATAAAATGCCATCATTTTTTCTTAAGCCATCTTTGTTTCCATTGTCCTTTAAGACATCAATTGTCCGGGGAGAACAGAGTATTTCAATTTACAGATAACTTCATTGCTTTAGTGGAATCGAATATCAGGACATGATAAAGCCAATTTCTCCATGAGTTTAACTTAAATGATTTGCAACCATAGTGCCTCCTCTAGGTTCCATGTTACACCAGATACCTTACGTATACATACTCTGTGTTTATTATAGGAAGATTTACTATGAAAAACAGTATGAAGGTTTCTCAAAAAATCAAAGGTAGAACTACCATATGATCCAGCAATTGCACTCCTCACTATATATCCAAAACAAATGAAATCATTATGTAAAGAAATAGCCACACTCTCATGTTCACTGTAGCATTATTCACCATAGTCAAAATATGGAAACAAATAAAATGTCAATCAACGGACTATTTAATAAAGAAAATGTGGTTGATACATACAAGGGAATATATTTCATCTTTAAAAAGAACAAAAATGATTGCCATCATGGAGAGTCTGGGAAGATGTTATGTTAAGTGAAATAATTCTGTCACAGAGTGAAAAATACTGCAAGATTTCACTTTTATGAGGTATCTAACGTAGTCAAACTAATATTAGAAGAAGTAGAATGGTGGTTGTCAGAAATTTAGGGAAGGTGAATGGAAAGTTATTATTTAATGATTTTACAGTTATATGGAATAAATACATTTTAGTTATCTGTTGTACAACATAGTGCCTGTATTTGACAATACAGTGTTGAGAACTGAAAAATTTACTGAAAGGGAATGCTTCTAGGTTTGCTCATTCAGTATGATGATGGCTGTGGGTTTTTAGTAGATGACTCTTATTATTTTGAAGTATGTTCCTTCAGTGTTTTGTTTTTGGAGGGGTTTTAACATGAAGAGATGTTGAATTTTATCGAAAGTCCTTTTTGCATCTATTAAGATCGTCATGTGGTTTTTGTTTTCAGTTCTGTTTATGTGGTGAATAACATTAATTGATTCGCACATGTTGAATCATCCTTGCATTCCATGAATGATGCCCACATGATTGTGGTGGATAAGCTTTTTGATTTGCTGCTGGATTTAGTTTGTTAGTATTTTGTTGAGGATTTTTGCATCAATGTTCATGAAGGATATTGTCCTGAAGTTTTTTTCTTTTTTTTCTTCTTTTTATTATATCTCTGCCAGGTTTCACACCACAATGACACTGGCCTCATAGAATGAGTTAGGAAAGACTTCCTCCTCCTCAATTTTTTGCAATAGTTTCCATAGAAATGGTACCAGCTCTCCCTTACACATCTGGTAGAATTTTGTTGTGAATCCATCTGATCCTGGGCTTTTTCTGATTGGCAGGCGTTTTATTACTGATTCAATTTCAGAAATCCTTATTGATCTGTTCAGGGATTCAATCTCTTCCTGGTTGAATCCTGGGAGGACTTATGTTTCCAGGAATTTATCTGTTTTTTTTATAGCTCTCATATCTTTTATGTAAAGAGCTGTTCATAATAGTCTCTGGGTTTTTCTTTTTGTATTACTGTGGGGTCAGTGGGGACAAATGTCCCCTTTGTCATTTCTGAATGTGTTTACTTGGATTTTCTCAAATTTTTTATTTATGCGTCTAGCTGGTAGTATATCTATCATATTAACTCTTTCAAAGGACTATCTACTAAGCTCAATGATCTTTTGTATAATTTTTTGTGTCTCAAATTCTTTCAGTTCACCTAGGATTTGGATTATTTCTTGTATTCTGTTAGCTTTGGGATTAATTTGCTCTTGTTCGTCTAGTTCCTTTAGTTGTAAAGTTAGGTTGTTAATTTGAGATCTTTCTAACTTTTTTATTTGAGCATGCTATGCTCTAAATTTTTCTCATAATAATAATTTGGCTGTGTCCCAGAGATTCTGGTATGTTGTATCTTTTTTCACAATCATTTCAAAGAATTTATTAATTTCTGCCTTAATTTCATTATTTTATCCAGAAATCATTAAGAAGCAGGTTGCTCTTTTCTATTTCATGGTATTTTTTTTCTTAACTTTGATTTCTGTTTTTATTGCATTGTGGTCTGAGACTGTGGTTGGTATGATTTCAGTTTTTCTTGAATTTGCTAAAGATTATTTTATGTCCTATTGCGTGATTGATTGTCGAGTATGTGTCATATGCCGCTGAGAAGAGTATATATTCTGTTGTTTTGGGGTGGAGAATTGTGTAAGTGTTTATTAGGTCCATTTCCCCAATTGTTAAGGTTTTGAATATCTTTGTTAGTTTTCTGCCTTGATGATCTGTCTACTACTGCCAACAGGTTGTTAAAATCTCCCAATATTATTGTGTGGTTATCTAAATATCTTCATAGGTCTCTAAGAACTTGCTTTATTAATCCAGGTGCTCCTGTGTTGGGTGCATATATATTCAGGACAGTTAAATCTTCTTGTTGAATTGAACTCTTTACCATAATGTAATGCCCTTCTTTGTCTTTTTTGATCTTTGTTGTTTCAAAGTCTGTTTTGTCTGAAATTAGAATAGCAACCCCTGCTTTTTCTGTTTTATATTGTTCGGTAGATTTTTCTCTATTCCTTTACTTTGAGCCTATGGGTGCCAATGCATGGCAGATGGGTCTCTTGAAGACAATATACCATTGAGTTTTGCTTGTTTATTCAACTTTACACCCTCTGCCTTTTGATTGGGGCATTTAGCCCATTTACATTCAATGTTCATATGGATATGTATGCATATGATCCTGTCATCATGTTGTTAGCTAGTTATTATACAGATTTGTTTGTGTGGTTGCTTTATAATGCCATGGGTCTACCTATTTAAGTGTGTCGTTCAGGCAAGAAAAAGAAATAAAAGGCATCCAAATAGCAAAAGAAAAAGTCAAACTATTGTTATTTGCAGACAATATGATTATACCTAGAAAACTGCATAGTCCCTGCTCAAAAGCTCCTTGATGTATCACAACTCCAACAAACCTTCAGGACGCAAAATCAATGTACTGAAGTCAGTAGCATTCCTATACATCAACAACATCCAAGCTGAGAGCAAATAAGAAACACAATCTCATTTACAATAGCCACAAAAAGAATAAAATATGTAGGAATAGAGCTAACCAAGTGAGTGAAAGACCCCTGTAAAGAGAATTATGAAACACTGCTTAAAGAAATAAGAGATGACAAAAACAAATTGAAAAACTTTTTATGCTTATGGATAGTAAAAATTAATATTGTTGAAAATGGCCACAAGGCCTAAGCAATTTACATATTCAGTGCTAATCCCATCATACTACCAGTGGCATTTTTCATAGATTTAGAAAATCTATTTTAAAATTCATATGAAATCAAAAACAATCTGAATACCCAAAACAATTCTAAGCAAAAAGAACAATGCTGAAGTCATCACACTACCCAGCCTCAAATTATACTACATGGCCACAGTAACCAAAACATCATGGTACTGATATGAAAACAGACACATAGATCAATGGAACAGAATAGAGAGCCCAGAAATAATGCCATACTCCTACAGCCATCTGATCTTCAAGAAAATTAACTAAAACAAGCAATGAGGAAAGGAATCCCAATTCAATAAATAATGTTGGCATAACTGACTAGTCATATGTGGAAGATAAAAACTGGACCGTTTCCTTACACCAGACACAAAAATTAACTCAATATTGATTAAAAACTTCAATCTAAACCAAAAACTATAAAAACCTTGGAAGATAACCTAGAAAATATCATTCTGGTCATAGGACCTGGCAAAGACTTCATAACAAATAAGCCAAAAGAAATTGAAACAAAAACAAAAATTGACCTATGAGACCTAATTAAACAAAAGAACCTCTCCACAGCAAGTGAAACTATCAACTGAGTACACGACAACCTACAGAATGGGAGAATATATTTGCAAACTATGCATCAGACAAAGGTCTATGTACTAATCCACTCTAATGCTGCTAATAAAGATATACGCAAGACTGGATAATTTATAAAGAAAAGAGGTTTAATTGACTCATGGTTCCACCTTGCTGGGGAAGCCTCAGGAAACTTACAATCTTTGGGGAAGGTACCTCCTCACAGGATGGTAGAAGGGAGAATGAGTGCCAAGCAAAGGGAGAAGCCCCTTATAAAGCCATCAGATCTTGTGAGAACTCACTCACTATCATGAGAACAGCATGAGGGAAATGGCCCCCATTATTTAATTATCTCCACTGGTCCTGCCCTTGACGTGTGGGGATTATTACAATTGAAGGCAAGATTTGGGTGGGGACACAAAGAAATACCATATTATTCTGCCCCTGCCACCTCCCAAATCTCATGTCCTCACATTTCAAAACACATCTTGCCCTTCCAATAATCCCCCAAAGTCTTAACTCATTAACCCAAAAGTTCAAGTCCAGAGTCTCATCTGAGATTCGGCAAATCCCTTCCACCTCTGAGCCTGTGAAATCAAAAGCCGGTTACTTCCTAGATACAATGAGGGTGGAGGCATTGGGTAAATACATTTATTCCAAATAGGAGAAATTAGCCAAAACAAAGGGGTCATGGGCCCCATGCAAGTCCAAAGTCCAGTAAAGCAGTCATTAAACCTTAAAGTACCAAAATTATCTCCTTTGACTCCATGTCTCACATGTAGATAATCTTGATGCAAGGGGTAGGCTCCCATGGCCTTGGGTGGCTCCACCCTTGCGGCTTTGCAGTCTATAGCCCCTCTCCTGACTGCTTTCATGACTGGCATTGAGTGTCTGTGGCTTTTTCAGGCTCTGTGCTGCAAGCTGTCATATCTACCATCTGGGATCCGGAGGACAGTGGCCTTCTTTTCACAGTTCCACTAGGCAGTGCCCCAGCAGGAACTCAGTGTGGGGGCTTTGACCCCACAATTCCCTTCCTCACTGGCATAGCATAGGTTCCCCATGAGGGCTTCATCACTGCAGCAAACTTCTGCCTGTACAACCAGGTGTTTCCATACATCCTCAGGAATCTAGGTGGAGGTTCCTCAACCTCATTCTTGACTATTGTGCACCTGCAGACCTAACACACATATAAGCCACCAAGGCTTGGGACTTGCAATCTCTGAAGCAACAGCCAGAGATGTACATTGGCCCCATTTAGCCACAGCTAGAGCTGAAGCATCTGGGATGCAGGGCACTATGTTCCAAGGCTGCACAGAGCAGGTGGGCCATGGGCCCAGCCCACAAAACCACTTTTCCATCCTAAGACTCCAGGCCTGTGATGGAAGGGGCTGCCATGAAGGTCTCTGACATGCCCTGGAGACATTTTTCTTGTCATCTTGGCGATTAACATTTAGCTCCTCGTTACTTACGCAAATTTGTTCAGGAGCCAGAATTTCTCCCAGAAAATGGGTTTTTCTTTTGTATCATATTGTCAGGCACAAATTTTCCAAACTTTTATACTGTGCTTTCTCTGGAATGCTTTGGCACTTAGAAATTTGTTCTTCCAGAAAACCTAAATCATCTCTCTCAAGTTCACTATTTCACAGATCTCTAGGGCTGGGGCAAAATCCCACCAGTCTCTTTGTTTAAAGCATAGGAAGAGTCACCTTTGCTCCAGTTTCCAACAAGTTCCTCATCTCCATCTGAGACCACCTCAGCCTGGACATCATTGTTCATATTGTTATCGCATTTTGGTCAAAGCCACTTAACAAGTATCTAGGAAGTTCCAAACTCTCCCACAATTTCCTGTCTTCTTCTGAGCCCTCTAAATTGTTCCAAACTCTGTCTGTTACTCAGTTCCAAAGTTGCTTCCACATTTTTGGGTTTCCTTGTAGCAGTGCTCCACTCTCCTAGCACCAATTTATTGTATGAGTCTGTTCTCACACTACTAATAAGACATATCTGAGACTGGGTAATTTATAAAGAGGTTTAATTGACTCACTGTTTCGCATTGTGGGGAGGCCTTAGGAAACTTACAATAATGGTGGAAGGCACCTCTTTGCAGGGTGGTAGGAAGGAGAATGTGTGCCAAGTGAAAAAAGAAGCCCCTTATAAAACCATCTGATCTTGTGAGATCTCACTATCATGAGAATGGCATGGGGGAAACCGCCCCCACAATTCAATTATCTCCACAAGGTTCTGACCTTGACATGTGGGGACTCTTACAATTCCAGGAGAGATTTGGGTGGGGGGAACAGAGCCAAAGCATATCAGTTTAATATCCAGCATCTATGAAAAACAAACACTTCCCTTAAAAAATGGGCAAAGGACGTGAATAGACACTTTTTTTAAAAAAAGATGTGGCCAAGAAGCATAGGAAAAAATAGTCAACATCACTAGTCATTAGAAACATGCAAATCAAAACCACAATGAGATACTGTCTCACATCATTCAGAATGGCCATTAAAAAAAAAAAAACAGATACTGGAGAGGTTATAAAAGGTCTACTTATGCATTGCTGGTGGGAATGTAAATTAGTTCAGCCCTTGTGGAAAGTAGTTTGGCATTTTCTCAAAGAACTTAAAACAGAATTGCCATTTGACTCAGTGATCCATTGTCAGATATATAACCAAAGGAAAATAAGCATTCCTGTATATGAACAATAGACAAGCAATGATCCAAATCATGAATGAACTCCCATTCACAATTGCTACAAATAATAAAATACCTAGAAATACAGCTAACAAGGGATGCAGAGGATCTCTTCAAGGAGAACTACAAACCACTGCTCAAGGAAATAAGAGAGGACATAAACAAATGAAAAAAAATTCCATCCTCATGGATAGGAAGATTGAATATTGTGAAAATGGCCATACTGCCCGAAGTAATTTTTAGATTCAATGCTATTCCCATCAAACATTATTGACATTATTCACAGAATTAGAAAAGAACTACTTTCAATTTCATATAGAACCAAAAAAAGAGCTCATATAGCCAAGACAGTCCTAAGCAAGAAAAACACAGCTGAAGGCATCATGCTACCTGACTTCAAATTATACTACACGGCTACAGTAACCAAAACAGCATGGTACTGGCACCAAAACAGACATATGGACAAATGGAAAAGAATAGAAACCTCAGAAATAACACCACATATCTACAGGCATCTGATCTTAAACAAACTGGACAAAAACAAGCAATGGGGAAATAATTACCTACTTAATAAATGGTGCTGGGAAAACTGGCTAGCAATATGCTAAAAACTGAAACTGGACTCTTTCCTTACACCTTATGCAAAAGTTAACTCAAGATGGGGTAAAGACTTAAATGTAAAACCCAAAACCATAAAAACTCTAGAAGAAAACCCAGGAAATACCATTCAGGACATATGCATGGGCAAATACTTCATGACGAAAACGTCAAAAGCAATTGCAACAAAAACCAAAACTGACAAATGGGATCTAATTAAAGAGCTTCTGCACAGCAAAAGAAACTATCAGCAGAATGAACAGGCAACCTACAAAATGGGAGAAAAATTTTGCAATCTACCCATCTGACAAAGATCTAATATCCAGAATCTACAAGGAACTTAAACAAACTTACAAGAAACAAACAAACAATTAAAAGGTGGGCAAAGGATATGAACAGACACTTCTAAAAAGAAGACATTTATGCAACGAACAACAAACATATGAAAAAAGGCTCAACATATCACTGATCATGAGAAAATGCAAATCAAAACCACAATGAGATACCATCTCATGCCAGCCAGAATGGTGATTATTAAGAAGTTAAGAAACACTAGATGCTTGCGAGGCTGTGGAGAAATAGGAAAGCTTTTACCCTGTTGGCAGGAATGTAAATTAGTTCAATCATTGTGGAAGGCAGTGTGGCGATTCCTCAAGGATCTAGAACCAGAAATACTGTTTGACCCAGAAATCCTATTACTAGGTATATACCCAAGGGAATATAAATCATTCTATTCTAGAGACACACATGTATGTATGTTTATTGCAGCACTATTTACAATAGGAAAGACATGGAACCAATCCAAATGCCCATCTATGATAGACTGGGTAAAGAAAATGTGGTACATATACACCATGAAATACTATGCAGCCATAAAGAGGATGAGATCATTTCCTTTTCAGGGACATGGATGAAGCTGGAAGCCATCATCCTCAGCAAACTAACACAGGAACAGAAAAGCAAATACTGCGTGTTCTTACTCATAACTGAGAGTTAAACAATGAGAACACCTGAACACAGGGAAGGGAAAAACACACACACCGGGGCCAGTTCGGGGGTGCGGGCCGAGAAAAGGGAGAGCATTAGGACAAATAGCTAATTGATGTGGGGCTTAAAACCTAGATGACAGGTTGATAGGTGCAGCAAACCACCATGGCACACATATATCTTTGTAACAAACCTACACGTTCTGCACTTGTATCCCGGAACTTAAAGTTTAAAAAAAAAATGTGCCTTAAAGACATAGGCATGCATGTGTTCATTGTGGCAGTATTCACAATGGCAAATACATAGAATCAGCGTAAATGCCCTTCAATGGTAGACTGGATAAAGAAAATGTGGTACATATACACCAGGGAATGCTCTGCAGCCATAAATAAGAATGACATTATGTCTTTTGAAACAACATGGAAGGAACTGGAGGCCATTATCTTAAGCAAAATAAAACAGAAACAGAAAAAATAATACCACATGTTCTCACTTTTACGTAGGAGCTGAAATGTTGAGTACATAAGGACACAGAGAAGGGAATCATAGCCACTAGGTCCTATTTGATGGTGGAAGATGAGAGGAGTGTGAGGATTGAAAAGCTACCTTTCAGGTACTATGCATATTACCCGGCTAATGAATTAATCTGCACACCAAATTCCTGAGACATGCAATTTACCTGTATAACAAATCTGCAAATGTACCCCTGAATCTAAAATAAAAGTTAAAAAACTACTGAAAGGTAAACATTTTATTACCAGTTCAATTTTGTTACTTGTTATTGTTTTTTTCAACTTTTCTGTTTCTTCCTGATTCAATCTTGGTAGGTTGTATGTGTCCAGGCATGTATCCATTTTCTCTAGTTTTCCTATTTGTTGGCCTATAGTCATTCATATTAGTTTTTAATAATCTGTTGTATCTTTGTGGTTTCACTTGTAAAGTCTCTTTTTGTTTCAGTTTTAGTTATTTGAGTCCTTTCTTTATTTCTTAGTCTAGCTAATCATTTGTTGATTTAATCATTTTAAATCACCAACTTTTTAATTTTTTTGATCTTTTATATTTTTAAATCTCTCTTTCAATTATTTCTGTTCTGGTTTTTGTTATTTGTCTTCTTCTGCTAATTTTGGGTTTGGTTCACTCTAGCTTTTCTTGTTCCTTAAGAATTGTTAGGTTCTTTATTTGAAATCTTTCTAATTTTTGATGTAGGCACTTATCGGTACATTATTGCTATACTATTTGTTACATGGAGTAATATTAGAGTAAAATTCCCTCTTAGTGCTGATTTTACTGTATCCCATAGGTTTTGATAGGTTAAATTTCTATTTTCATTTGTCTTAAGAAATTTTTAAATTTCTTTCTTAATTTCTCCATTGACCCATTGGTCATCCTGGAGAATGTTTAATTTCCGTGTGTTTTGTATTTATACAGTTTCCAAAATTCTTGTTATTAATTTCTAGTTTTATTTCTTCATAGTCTGAAAAGACACTTGATACAATTTTGATTTTTAAAAATTTGTAAAGACATGTTTTGTTGTCTAACATATAGTCTAGTCTGGAGATGATTTCATGTGGTGATGAAAAGAATGTATATTCTCTTGCTGCTGGATGAAATGTCTTGTAAATGTCTGTTAATTTCATCTGGTCTATAGTGCAGTTTACAATAGTCGTTTATTGATTTTTTATCTAGATCTGTCCAATGTTGAGAATGGAGTGTTGGTGTAAGAATTTGATAAATAAGGTGGTAAAATTATTACACTTTACTCTGTGTTTAGATAGAGTTTAGACTTCTTTATATGTTATCATCTGTTTGTTTTTGCCATTGATTTCAAATTTCTCGTAAACCTAACCATTTAATATTACTACTGAAAAGCTATTTGCAAGTTTGTGTTTCTTGCTTCTCTTAAACATTACCTTTTGAAAAAGCTACAATTATTGTTTAAAAGACTGACAGTAGGATGGAAAATAAGAGGAACTTGTTGATAAAGCTTGTAATTAATTTTAAATATTTAAAAGTTGGTTTAGTAGTCAATCATAGAGTAATAATGAAGAAAATGAAACAAAGCTTTTCTTTTATTATTTGTTTAAATAATTTACAGTTAGAATAATTTATAGCTGGCATAGTTCTTTAATATCCAATTACTTTGAGTTAAATAAATTTCAAAATTAAACTTTAAATATATGAATATAAAAGAAAACTGCAGACATAAAATACTTTACTTTTTCTTCTAGATCCATTGTTGATGAAAATATAATCGGCTTTTGGTCTGAGATGTAGGCAAAGCAGAATTATAAGAAAAATTAAAGAAAATTAACTCACCCTCCAAATATTGCCACTGGCCAAGAAATAAAGGTGGCTTTTCTTATTGCTTTAAGAGGTGCCAGAATGTTGCAGAAAGGCCCCTTCTTAGAAATAGCCCTGAGTCAAATTCATTTTGGTATAAACAGCATTTCAGATAAATGATTTTCTCATTCTTATTCTGAAATTTGAAAGATCATAATAAGAATAATCACCTTTGAAAAAAGGTGTTTTTATTTTGCTTACTGGGCTTTTTCTGACTTTTTTTTTTTCAATTAATGGAGCTCTGTGCATAGGAAGATAAAAGATACTGGGTGTTGTGTCAAATTAATCTATATGATTTATTACAAATGTGAGAATGACCCCTAATCATGTAGGGTCAGAAAGCATGGACAAAATGGTTTGTGTGGCACTACCTGACTCACCAACCTTTCGTTCTCAGGATTTTAAAATCACTTTCTGGAACTCTTGAGGACACCATTAACCCAAAATCAGCACTACATTCCCTGCCTCTGGCTTTTATCTTCAGCTGCCTTATTTTCTTTCAAAATATTTACAAAAGTGATGATGAAAACAGTTGATCAAAGAATAGCTTAGATGGGCTTTGGCTAATAAAACATTTTGTTAAATGACATTGGATTGGATTTTATTACTAAAACACATATTTTATGAAATAATCACGTAGTTAACACACAAACTTTATTGCCATTTCTGAAAAGAAAATTTCAAAGAAGAGAAGCAGGAGGAAGAAAAATAGTTACTAACTAGGGTTATTGTAACGAAAAAGTGAATATTCACAGGGCTAAACAAATTATGACAGGAGTCAAAAACCAACAAAATAGAACTATCAAGCTGGTTATTTAGTATCAAGTTAAAAACAATCATATTTGATTGACTTTTTACATAAATCAATGACCAAAGACCACTGGGGATATATCTGTAGTTGAAAAGCCTGGATTTACACTAATTGCAGTGAGGAATAATGCACATCATGGTGAACTCAGGTGTATGCCAGTAAGAGGGTATAGGATTTGGTTTATGTTAAGGGATTTGGGGAAGATTTAAGAAAACAGGGCTATGCTTAGAATTGAATGTTGTCGGGAAGTAAGGCAATTCTGATTTGATACATGAATAAAGATTATCTAGAAAGAGAAAATCAAGCTCAGACTAAAATATTTGAGAATTAAGTGAAATAATAGATTCAAAGGGATTAATGAAAATCTTGCACAATATAATTTGCTTATTTGCTTACTTCATTAGTCACAAAATTTTTGAAAAATACTTGAGATGTGCCTGTTTCTATAACCTGTATTTGTAAAAGTTCTTACCATCTGTATAAAATTTACTAATTTTTAATGATGTTATATGTCAAATCAAAACTAATTCTTCCTTTCACAGAATTTGTTTCAAGTCTTTATAAGAATGGCAGTATGTGAACTGACAAAAATGATTTAAATTGTTACTGTATGCTTTCCATACAATACTTTACATAATGTGTAATATATCAAAAACATATTTGGCATTATAGAGATATGAAAGACATGTAGCACTTAAAGTATATCTCAGGGGATGTTTCTGGAAATAGCATATATTGTTCTTCAGTGGTGAAAGGATGACATTAAAGTCAGACAATCCTGGAATTGTATCTCTGCCATTTACCAAGGTTGAGATCTAAAATGAATTATCTCATTCACTAAGCTTCATCTCCTGGCCTATAAAATGACATCTGTAACATTTACTTTACAGACAATTTTTGGGGAACTCGTGAAATAATGTATGTACCATACCTAACACACAGCACTCATTTCATGGTAACTATTATTTTATTAATAAGTACTTTATCATAGGGGCAGAATGGTGTAGAAAAAGGATGGTAGATATGTTTTTGATTTTCTGTTTCTTGGTGTACAGAGATTACTATTTTGCGTGCACAATGACCCTGTCCCGAATAAAACGAAGAATGTGTTCTTAGGGTCTCATTCAATGCCACACTAAATAAATGATGGCCTATCACTTTAGATTTAATTTTTTTTCATGTTTCACAAGATCTGAAACCAGAAATAGAGTCTTGGAAAGAACAATAACTTGGTCAGGTGCAGTGGCTCACACCTGTAATCCCATTACTTTTGGAGGCTGAGGCAGGTGGATCCCCTGAGGTTAGGAGCTCAAGACCAGCCTGGCCAACATGATGAGACCCCATCTCTACTAAAAATACAAAAATTAGCCAGACGTGGTGGTAGGCGCCAGTAATCCCAGCTACTTGAGAGGTTGTGGCGGGAAAATCACTTGAACCCGTGAGGTGGAGGTTGCAGTGAACTGAGATTGTGTGGCACTGCACTCCAGCCTGGTTGACAGAGGGAGACTCCATCTTAAAACAAAAGGAAAAAAAAAAGAAAAAAACAGTAACTTGATAGATTCGTCCTGTTGATTTTCAACCTAAGCAAATCACATACATATGACAGCCTGGGAGGGGTAATTCATACATATGATTAAGTGTAATATTGATGACTGAGTTTTCCACTCCAGTAATAGAGTAGAGGAATAAGAAAAAATAACTGATTAATTCATAAAGTTATTTATCATTTGGATTTGGATTACAATCTGGATACGCAACAATAGGAAACACAGTCCTACAAAAAAAGCAGTTCTTCCTGTCTTGGTTCTTTACTTCTAGTATTCATGTATGCATTCAACAATATATTTTAACATGTATTGTGTAATAGGAACTAATATGAGAAGTTTTACTTGAACAAAACAGATGAAACTCTTATGGAGCTTACAGTGTGTAACCTCAAACCACATATAGCAACACTGAAGGAAACCATGTTATGGCATGGTGGCTGACCTACTCATAAAGAGAAAAACAATTGAGTATAGAGTAAAAATGTAAAGATTTGATACCTTATTATTATTCTCCTTTTTAGCTAAAATAATTTAAAAGGCAATAAATTACCAGCCTTTGATGACTTTGGGCCCTTTCTTTGTTGTCATAGATATATATATATATTATATAGAGATGTAGATATAGACCAGCAACAGCTGTTGCATAGATTTAAACTTATAATCAAAAGTTAACATCATCTTAAACAATTGTAAAAAATATAGGTATTTGAAAAGTTCATAACGAAGTATAATTTCAAAATCCAGTATCTTAGATAAGGCTTCATCTTTTTTATCTTCATTATTACAATAATCTACTAACCAGTCTCCTGTCACCTATTGGGATTATCTCCTTTTAATAAATTATTTAATGAAAAAATTCTAATATCACTGAAACAATCAACATTATGTCAGCTTTTACATAAAATCCTATATTAGCTTCCTGGAATCACATTAATAAATCAAAGATTCCTAGCTTTGGCTTACACCTTGCCATTTTCCAATCAGATTCATGTCTTGCTAGAAATCTTAGATCAAGCCTTGCTGGTGGACTCTCCACACTCTATATTTTCTCTCACCAAATCTAATTTGTGCATTAGACTCAGTTTGGATTTCAATTCTTCTATGCAGTTTTTCCTACTTGCATAGTACCTCCTCATTATCCCTTGTCCCACAGGCTAGATTAAAGACTTTGTAAACCTCACATTGTTTTCCTCTATCTAGTACTTGCCATAGTTAAATGCATTTCTGTAAATTCAGTAAAGTTACAGGGCACAAAATCAACATAAAACTCAGTAACATTTCTGTATACCAACAGTGAACAATTTGAAAAAGAAACTTAAAAGTTATCCCATTGACAAGAGACACAGATAAAATAGCTAGGAATTAACTTAACCAAAGATGTGAAAGATTTCTATAATGAAAACTGCATAACACTGAAAGAAATTGAAGAAGACACAAGAAGTCAAAAGGCTTTCCATGTTCATGAATTGGAAGAATCAATAGTGTTAAAATATCCGTAAGTACCCAAAGTAATCTACAGATTCAATGTAATCCCTACGAAAATGCCAAAGATATTCTTCAGAGAAATAAAAAAAAATCTAAAATTTATATAGAACTACAAAAGACTCAGAATAGCCAAAGTGTTCCTGAGCAAAAACAGCAAAACTGGAGGAATCACATTATCTGACTTCCAATTGTATGATAGAGTTATGATAAACAAAACAGCATGGTACTGGCATGAAAACAGACATATAGACAAATGGAACAGAAAATTGAAGCCAGAAATAAGTCCATACACCTATGGGGAACTCATTTTGACAACAGTGCCAAGAACATAAATGGGAGAAAGGATAGTCTCTTCAATAATTAGTGCTGGGAAAACTGGATATCCATATGCAGAAGAATTAAACTAGACATTTGTCTCCTGTCATCTTACAAAAAATCAAATCAAAATGGATTAGAGACTTATATCTAAAACCTGAAACTATGAAATTACTAAAAGAATATACTGGGGAAACTCTTCATGTCATGGGTCCAAGAAAAGATTAATTTTACTTATTTATTTCTTCATTTAAATTATTATTATTATTTCTAATAGAGACAGAGTGTCTCTCTGTTGCTCAGGCTGGATTGCAGCGGTGCCATCATAGCTCATTGCATCCTCAAACTCCTGGACACAAGTGATTCTCCTGCCTCAGCTTCCCAAGTATCTAGGACTATAGGAGCATGCCACCACACCTAGCTAATTAAAAAAAAAAATTGTATAGATGAGGTCTCACTGTGTTGCCCAGGATGGTCTCAAACTCCTTGCCTCAAGCAATTCTCCTGTCTTGGGCTCACTAAGTGCTGGGATGACTGGTGTGAGACACTGCACCAAGGCCTGGGCAAATGTTTCTTGAGTAATACTCCAAGAACACAAGCAACCAAAGCAAAAATGGACAAATGAGATCACATCAAATTAAAAAGCTTCTGCTCAGCAAAATAAATAATCAATAAAGTTAAGAAACAACCTGCAGAATTGGAGAAAACCATTGCGAACCCTCTATCTGACAAGGGATTAATAACCAGAATATATTAAAACATTTAAAAAATCAATAGGAAAAAAATCTAATAATGCATTTTTTAAATAGGCAAATAATCTGAAAGGACATTTTAAAAAACAAGACATGCAAATGGCCAACAGGTATTTGGGAAAGTGCTTACTATCATTAATCATCAGATAAATGCCAATCAAAACTACAATGAGACATCATCTCACCCAAGTTAAAAGGGCTTGCATCCAAAAGAACAGCAATAATGAATGCTGGTGAGGATGTAGAGAAAGGGGAACCCTTATACACTGTTGGTGGAAATGTAAATTAGTACAATCACTATGCAGAAGAGTATGGATGTTTCTCAAAAAAATAAAAATGGAACTACCATATGATCCAGTAATTCCACTGCTAGATATACCCCAAAGAAAGGAAATCAGTGTATCAAAGAGATATTTGCACTCCTGTTATTTTTGCAGCATGATTCACTCTAGAAAAGATTTGGAATCAACCTAGGTATTTCTCAACCAAGAGTAGATAAAGCAATGTGGTATGTAAACACAATAGAATATTATTCAGCAATAGAAAAGAAGGAAACCTTGTCATTTGCAGCAACATGGATAGAACTGTGAAGTGAAATAAGCCAGGCACAGAAAGACAAATTTTCCATGTTCTGATTCATACGTGGGTACTTAAAAATGAAAAAAATTGAAGTCATAGAGATAGAGTGTAATGATGATTACCAGAAGCGGGGAAGGGTAGTTAGGGGGCACGGAGAGTGAGGATGGTTTATGGTTACAAAAATATGTTTAGATAGAATCAATAAGATCTAGTATTTGATAGAACAATAGGGTTACTATAGCCAACAGTACTTTATTGTGTATTTTAAAATAACAAAAAGAGTGGAGTTGGAATGATTCTATTATAACACAAAGAAATGATAAATGCTTAAGGTAATGCTTGGTGTAATCATTACACATTGTATACCTGTAACAAAACATCACATGTACCCCTCAAACATATACACCCACTACATACCCACTAAAATTAAAAATTAAATAAAAAATATTTGGTATAAAATACATATTTTTTGAATAAGTGAATTAATGTATGAAAAAACAAACAAATATCAACGTATAATTCCACTAGCAATACTCAATTCTGTATTCAAAACCTTTAGCCTCATAATTGTTTCAGAATTCAGAACTGTTTAGACAGATACTATGTTCAGAAAAGTAAATGGTACAAATGCTACAGGTTATATAAACATTCAGTGCTTGCTGGGATAAAAGTAATAAAATAGGTTAATATTCTAATATTAACCTAGTAATTACCATGTTTCATATGTTTTAAGTATGTTCATTTCCTAGGTGAAAGATATATCTCAAAGTTTCCAACCTTGTGTATTTTTCCAAGAAAGAGATACGTTTTTCTTTAGGAATGACAAGACCTCTTGAATGTTTTCTTTACTAAGTTATCCAATAGTAAACTTATGTTCTCCTCCAAATTTTTAATGATATTTCTGTATGTGGTAATGATATTAATCACCTTGCTTATTAAACAGAAGTAATTTAAAATATGTTTCTCTTTTAATTGTTATTTTAATATTTAACACAATTTATCTTTAAAAGTGATCTTTTAAAGTTATATGTATACATGTAATAAATGTATACAAGTAGACTTTTTCTATTATTCTGAGACCAATATTTCAAAACCAGATTCTGGAATTTCTTTTGGAATAGATCTCAATTTTCTCCCATACATGTTACTCTTTCAATTCATTCCTTTCATTCATTTATTCATTGATTGTGTTAAATGGAAGGTGATTTGTTGGACACACCAATGCTCCTGACACATGCTATTCACTTGGAGCAGCTCCTCTTATGTGGCACATTCACAGTGCAACGGTAAGTCATTTCACCATCTTTATGCTTATTAAAATTAAATCTAATCACTAGAACCCTCATAGCTAACTTACAGAAAGGATAGATTTTGTGTGTTTGTGAGTGTTGCAGGTTACATCAATGCTACTATGATATGGTCTTTAAAACTTTTTACCATAAAGACATTCTGTTAGTCCCTTTGCATTGTTCTAGATGAATACCTGAGGCTGAGTAATATATAAAGAAAAAAAGGTGGCTTTTTTTTTTTTTTTTGGCTCGCAGTTCTGCAGGCTGTGAGAGAAACATAGCCTCTGCTCCTGGGGAGGCCTCAGGAAGTTTACAATCATGGCAGAAGACAAAGGGGAGCCAGCACATCACATGGCCAGAGGAGAAAGAGAGAGAGAAGGGGGAGGCCCCAGCCTCTTTTAAACAATCAATCTCATGCGAACTAATTGAGGGAGAACTCACTCATCACCAAGAGGATGATGCTAAATCATTCATGAGGGATCCACCCCCATAATCCAATCACCTCTCAACAAGTCCCAACTCCAACATTGAGAATCACATTTCAACTTGAGATTTGGAGGGAGCAAACATCCAAACTATATTAGACACGAAAACTGTTCTTAAATTCAAAGAGATTACAGCCTGTGTTAAAGCCCTGCTACAAGGGACTAGAGGAAAGGAATTAAACTGATTCTGCTTTCTCTCACTATCTGGTTGCAGACCAGCAGTCTTATAGCCTGGCTTTGTACATATTGCAATTTGATATAGTAGTTGAAAAGTGGCCAGCTAACAGGGAATTGCAGTAATCAAGCTGTTGGGGAAAAAAAATCGATGTACTGAACAGACTTGCAATCATATTATAAGAGCAACACAAGTAAAGACAAGCAATGGTCCTCTTCTGCCAGCATCAATGTGGAGAGAGTGGAGGGGAAAAAATGACTTCAAACTGCCTAAGGAAAAGATATCATTCAAAAGGCCACTAAGAATCTGAATTCTAAAACCATAAAAATGGAATTTAATCAAATGCCATTTTTGTCAAAATTAAATAAAATGACTTAATTAGGAAGTCACTTATATGAGTTAATAGAACATTTTTATTGTTTGTGTGAGCTAAATTACAAGAAATTTTATCATAACCAGTGTTACAAATTTATGTATACTGCAGGAAAAGTAGCATGTTGTGCTAATGTTTAAATATAGGCAAATGCTAATGAGTTACCATAAATGGTTCAGTTATACAAACTTTCTCAGATATGAGTATCCAGAGTAGTATGGATATTACAAATTAAACCAAATCATATTTGGAGTCTTTCTTTTGTTCACAAACATACTTTGTTTCTAGGAGAATAGGGGAAGGAAGAATTAGGTCAGGAGGATAAGAAGAGGTAGAAAAATGAATGAAGAAATGAAAAGAAGAATTACACACAAACCAGTGTGGACTACTCTCTTGGGGGCAGCTAAGTCCTAAATCAATCTGAGGCTGTTCTTGAAATGCAGGCATACGTTTCCAAGCATTATATTAAAATTTCATGATCAATAACGCTGAAAGCAGCAGAACATACAAGCAAAATAAGTGCTGACAATTCACTAGCATACGAATTTAATAAAATGTCATCCTCCAGCCTCAGCAGTAGTGCCAGGAGGAGATGACCATCTTGATTAGAATCTGTCAAATGAATCTCTGTTTGTCAGGTAATAATAAACTCAGGATAGTACCTTTTGTTCCAGGTTTTGTTTACTCTTCAAAATACAGCAGTCAATTCATATTCTTATATAATTTTACTATTTTTACACTGAATAAACAAATCAAACATAGACCTTTTTATAATAGAGGAAAATCCAATATTATTTACCTACTTTTGTTCTGTGTATAGATAACATCGAGACGTGAGAGTTAGTCTTCTCTGTATATGTACTCACATAAGAATCTGTACATGTACTCACACAACACTCAAATATTTTTCAATGAAGTTTCATCATCTTTGGAGTCTTACCTGTTATTTGTTAAGGACATTGAGAATGTTGCCTTTCATCCTTACTGAAAAATTCAATACAACATTACCTAAGATATTCTGCATGGAACCAGGCACTAAATGGTAAATATTTACAAAAATAATCAGTTTTGGCTTAAAGGAAACTCCAGTCTATTTGAAGGTAATTGATAATGCCAGGTAAAAGCTGTGAAAAGCATGGTGATCAGGGATATATCATATCTGAGTGACTGGCCAGAATATGATTTCTTCTGTTCTTTCTGTTATTAAATTAATGGTTTGAGAGAGAGCAAAAAAATACTTGGAGAGTTTAAAAAATCTTTTCTTCACAGAAATGATATATTACTATGTTTTTATCTATTGCCAAATGTTGATATAACTTTACAATTACTCTTGAAACAGCATATGGGAACAGTCTGAGAGTTATTCTTAAATGCTGAAAGTTGCTTTTGAGTAAGTCTACTTACCAATTCCCCATCTTTTTCCTAATTATCATTCTATTAAAGCATCTATTCAGGGACTGATTCAGTTGTTTATTCATTTAATCAATATTCATTTTAACAACCTACTATGTACCAGTCTTTAAACTTAACAACTGAAGAGTCTCTTGCATAGACCACTACTGAAAATTATCTGAAATTTGCTCCATTCCTATGAGTTTGGGTGACACTATGAACCTACCCACTTTTGATGTCTTGTCTGTCTACTATTCTGTCCACTACTGGGGCTTGTCTAGAAAATCAGTTTCTGAATTTGCAAGGGTGTTCAACTGCTTGAGATAGTTTTAAAACAGATTTAAACACATGTTGAAGATTACTGAGAAAAGTTTCAACTTCGAAAGCTGTGGTTTTATGAAAAGAGAGTTTTATGTAATAATGTGATGTATTTTTTCTTGATTATAGAGTTGGCTTAATATTATTTATTCTCCATTAATAATACATATATTTTAAATGTTTGAATCTGTCTCCAGAATGAAAAGTGGTTTTATAATTTCTAAAAAACAGTTATGTACAAGGAACACTGAATGAGCTCTAGGCAGGTGAAGTATTAGAATGTGTTGCATGGAAAATTTACTAAGAATACCTGGTTATAATGGTCTATAGTTTCAGGGTGCTTTGGAGGATATCACAGGATAATTGGTTGAGCCCAGGAGTTTGAGGCCAGACTGGACAACATAGTGAGTCCCCATCTCTTAAAAAAATTAAAAATGAAAAAAAATTTACTAAGTAAATTGAAAGGAGATGAAAGTATTCTATAACTAATGAAGAGAATGGAAGTAAACAATGAAAAGTCACTAAAAATATACTCAAATTACAATATATTCCTTTCTTTTACCAAAATGTGCTCTATTCCATTCAAGAGTGTTTCAGGTATGGCATTTTGACATTTTCCTTCTGGAGTATAACAAAGTCATACATAATAAAGCATAGTATATTAGAAAAAAGGACCAGGCGCAGTGGCTCACGCCTGTAATCCCAGCACTTTGGGAGGCTGAGGTGGGCAGATCACGAGGTCAGGAGATCGAGACCATCCTGGCTAACATGGTGAAACCCCATCTGTACTAAAAATACAAAAAACTAGCTGGGCATGGTGGCGGGTGCCTGTGGTCCAAGCTACTCGGGAGGCTGAGGCAGGAGAATGGCGTGAACCCAGGAGGCGGAGATTGCAGTGAGCCGAGATCGGGCCACTGCACTCCAGCCTGGGCGACAGAATGAGACTCCGTCTCAAAGAAAAAAAAAAAATTCAATTATATTTTATAAGAGTGGTGCTTGACCTTATGCTAGTTTAAGAACAGTCTTAATATGGAAATTATAAGTTGACTTCTTATTCATAATCTGCTAGGTCAATCAGCAAGGTGAACTTTTTGGTGGTTGTTTTTGCAACACATTTAGTATATAATTAACCCCTTTATGTATATTTCCCTACAATTTTTCTTGTACTATTGATAGTAAGCCACAGTGCATAGGAATTGAATTACAACTATAGAAACTCTTCTTGCTATCTCTTACTTTTTTCATTACTTATTGCAGGAGAAATGAAAAGCAAGTCCATAACCATAAATTTGTCATTTGTCATCCCCCAGTCTTCACAAAACCTCATATTTACTTCCTCTTTCAGCAGAGTGGCTATCATTAGTGACTAACAGAATAGAATAATAATAATTTTTTTTCACCAACTCTACAGATGACCTTCTGAAAGTTTGTTGGTCTCAAATTTAAAGATTTGTTCCTTGAATGTAAATGTCCTGATTTCAAAAAATGTATCAGGACTTTGAGTATTACACTAGAAAGAGTGGTTTAAAATTCTGCAATTTATGAACATTATAATTTGGGAAACTTAATTTATTTAGGTAAAATAAAGTTTACTTACATTTAAATATGGAACTTAATTTTCATGGTTAGACAATGGAAAAACAAAACACAACAGCGACAGGTCACTTTTGTTCCTTAAACATTTCTTGCTCTGTTTCTCTTCCTCCTTCTTTTTCTAATCATTGTATTTTGTGAATAAGGAGTTATACTACATATTTCCCTTCTTTTTCTACCTGTAGCAATGTTTATACATTTCCTAGCTTTTATACTGAGAAAAGCAAAGTTATATTAATAGCGGAATCTGTAAATACAGGTCATGAAATTCATACAGTTTTGTTGAAATCAGTAGCTTTTTAGCAATGATGACTATATACATGGCATACACTTCTGGATTTATATAAAAGTATACTTCGTTGATTGCCACATGTAATTTAATAACCTTGCCACATCATATGTATTGATCTGTATGCAAATATGGTACTTGTAGTCCAAAAGCCTATTTTTTAAAGTTAATTTTTAAGCATACTGACTATTAATAACAAAAGTTAAGTTTAGGCCAAAGTGTGGACTACCTTTATAAAACAGATGAGCATATATTTATGTTGCCAAGTCAAATTAGCAGGTCCCAAGAGAGATATAGATTACTCTGCCAAAAACAAAGCAAATTTTTTATTTCTTGACAAAACTAGGCAAATTCTGCATATTAAATCCATGTGTGTATGTGTGCATGTGTGTTATCATCTCAAAACCTCCAAAGCCAAAGCCTGTTTATTGAGAGAAATGCCAGAAATAGTGAAAAGTGGACGGTAAGACAATCAATCTTGAGAAGGTGTATATTTTCTTGAAAAGAATTTTCAAAAGGAATCACAGAATATTTAAGATTCAATAAAAATACAGAATAATTAGAAGTGGAAATAGATTCATATCTTAAGATAAAAAAAATCATTAAACCCAAAAATGAAATGAGGAGTTATGATTTTAATTACACTTATGGTTTCCACCTGTGTATATTGTTCCTCATAGCCCTAATTCATTTGCTAATTGTATGATGGGACGGTTTTGCTCTTCTTTTCATTTTCCCTTTTATTCAAAAATGTTTCTGTCTTCATCCTAAACTCTCAGTTCACAAAGCTATTTTTCTATTTGTTATATTTGTGAGGAGAAACATTCATTTAGAGAAATCTTCCGTTTTTTGAAGCGTAATTTTTCTATCAGAGAGGTTTCTTTGGTTATTTCTGTGTTTTTCTTTAGGATTTCTAATTTTATTTTCATTTGCTGTAGTATCTTGGAATCATTGCCACACCATTCCACTTGACATATCTCTGACATAAGTAGCCCTATCTAGCCATCATTTCTGGCTAGACACATGTGTGTGTCTGTTCTTTGATATCCTTTCCTCTTCATGTTAGCCTTGCCTATATCTTACCTTTAGAACTTCTGTTTAAATACTGGTCATGGGTAGCCTCGGTCATTGGAAGTTAGCCTTGTTTTCTATCTGCTTTACTATTGCTGGGTGATATTGGAATATGGAAAGTCATAAATTGGTGGGGTTTATTGTTCTCTCTAATATTTTTAGAATAATTCTGGAGTTTATTATTCACAGTGAACAGTATGTGCTATTTGTATAGGTATCGCCTCTCAATTTTGAGTAAATTTTTACCCAAAATCCATTATGAATCATCAGGCTCCAGTTACTGACAAGGTGTAGGCAGGGTAATGACACTGATGGGGTATAATCACTTATAGTAAAATTTATTTCCCGTAAGTGATGAAAACTTAACATGGGACTTTTGTTCATCTCCTGCTTCCTTAATTATGACCTTGAAGATACTTGTTTTATTTTTTATTTTTTTATTATTTTTTATTATTTTCTCCTCTGTAT